>NC_000008.11:38951011-39254041 GCF_000001405.40 Homo sapiens | reverse complement strand
TTTATATGTCTCTATTTTATGACAGTAACATCCTGTTCTGGTTACTGTACCTTTGTACTGTATTTTGAAAAGCTTTGTTCTTCTTTTTAAAAATTGCTTCTAATTATCTGGATTTTTTTCATCTTATATAATTTTTTTATTTTCTATTTCTTTGAAAAATAACATGGAGATTCTGATAAGGATTGCATGGAATCTGTAGATAATTTTGACTATTAGGGATAGTTTAACAATATTAGTTTCTTCAATCCGTGGAATATCTTTCAATTTTTTGTGTCTCTTTTACTTTTTTTCATGTTTCATAGTTTTCAGTGTACAAGTCGTTCACCTCCTTGGTTTGTTTTAAACCTAAGTATTTTATTCTTTTTGATGCTGTTGTAAATGGGATTGTTTAACTAATCTCCTTTCCTGACCGTCTGTTTTTGACGTATAAAAATGAACTGATTTTTGAGTGTTGTTTTTGTGTCCTGCAACTTTACTGAATTCATTATTTCTTCTACTAGTTTTATGGAACCTTTATGGTTTCCTGTGTATACAATCATGGCATTTGCAAACAGAAGCTACTTTATTTCTACTTTCCCATTTGGATGCTATTTATTTCTTTTCCTTGCCTCATTGCTTCATCTAGGAATTCCAGTACCAAGTTGAAGAGAAGTGCAGAGACTGAGTATCCTTGCATTGTTATAGATCTTAAAGTAAAGGCGTTCATTATTTCACCATTGAGTATAATTTTAGCTATGGATTTTTACATGTAGGCTTTCTGCTATTCCTAACGTATTGAGTTTTTATAATGAAAGGGTGTTGGATTTTGTCAAATGCTTTTTCTGCATCTTAATGTCATAAAGTAAATTGATCTTTCATCTTCTTAATGTGGCATATCTCATTAATTGATCTGTGCATTTTGAACCATCCTTGCATCCCAGGAATAAATCCCATCTGGTCATAGTGTATGATTCTTTTAACGTGCGGCAAATATAGTTTGTTAATGTCTTGCTGTAAATTTTTGCATGCATGTTTGTAGATATATTAGCCTGCAATTTTATTTTCTTGTTTAATTCTTCTGTAAATGTTTAACAGAATTCATTTGTGAAGCCCCCTAGTCCTGAGATTTTCTTCGCTAGAAAGTTTTGTTTACTGATTTAATCTCTTTATTTGTTATTGTTCTGTTCAGGCTATTTATTCTTGATTCAGTCTTGGCAGGTTGTATCATCCTAGGAATTTATAAATTTCTTCTAGGTTATCCAACTTGTTGGTGTATAAATATACACCACAGTATCTTCTTAAAAAATTTCTGTGACATCAGTTGTAATATCTGCTCCTTCATTTCTGATTTTGAGTCTTATTTCTTTTTTTCTTGCTATTTTACCTAAGAGTTTGTCCTTTTTTTAATCTTTTCAAAAACTCAACTCTTAATTTCCTTGATTTTGTCTATTATTTTTCTATTCTCTATCTTATTTGTGCTCTAATCTTCATAACTTCCTACTGCAAACTTGGAGTTTGTTCAATTTTTTTCTAGTTTCTTGAGGTGTAAAGTTAGAATGTTTATTTGAAATCTTTATTCTTTTTAATGTAAGAATTTATCACTATAAATTTCCCTTTAGTACTGTTTTTGCCACATCCCTTTTTTTTTTCATTTTTTGTTTGTCTTGAGATATTTTCTAATTTCCGTTTTGATTTGTTGTTTAGCCCAATGGTTGTTCACTCATGTGTTATTTAATTTTCATGTATTTTTTAAGTTTTCCCACTTTCTTTTAATATTAACTTCTAGCTTCAATCTAGTGTGGTCAGAAAATACACTTGGAGTGATGTCAGTCTTCTTAAATTTGTTAAGACTTGTCTCGTGACTTAATATGTGGTCAGCAATTCTGAGCAAAAAGAACAAAGCCAAATGCATAACATTATCTGACTTCAAGTTATACTACAGAGCTATAGTAACCAAATCACCATGGTACTGGCATAAAATCAAACACATAGACCAATGGAACAGAATAAAGAATCCGGCTACAAATACATGCATTTACACCAATTCATTTTCAACAAAGGCACCAAGAATGTACAACAGAGAAAGAACAGTCTCTTCAATAGATGGTGCTGGAAAAATTCGATAACCATATGCAGAAGAATAAAACTTGATCATTATCTTTCACTGTGTACAAAAATAAAATCAAAATGTATTCAAGACTTAAATCTAAGAACCAAAACTATAAAATTACCAGGAGAAAATGTAGGAAAATAGTTCTAAGACACTGATTATGTAATTATTTTTTGGATATAACCTCAAAAGCACAGGAAACATAAGCAAAAATAAACAAATGGGATTACACCAAGCTAAAAAGCTTCTACACAGCAAAAGAAGCAATCAACAAAGTGAAGAGACAACCCACAGAATAAAAGAAAATATTTCCAAACTATCCATCTGACAAGGGACTGACAATCATAATATATAAGGAGCTCAAATAACTCAATAGGAAAAAACTCCACAAAGTATATGATTAAAAAAATGGGCAAAAGATCTGAATAGACATTTCTCAAAATAAAACAAACAAATGGCCAACAGGTATATGAAAAAATGTTCAACATCACTAATTATGAGAGAGATGCAAATCAGAATTATGAGATATAATCTCAATCCAGTTAAAATGGCTTATAAAAGCCATTTTTTTTTTGTAACAAAAAGACCATCTTTTTGATAAAAAAAGATGGAACAGCCAATGCTGGCGAGGCTGTGGAGAAAAGGAAAGACTCACACACTATAGGTGGGAATGTAAATTAGTACAGCCACTATAAAAAATTGTGTGGAGATTCCTCAAAAAAACTAAAAATAGAACTACTATATGACCCAGCAATTCTACTACTGAGTAAATAACCAAAAGAATGGAAATCAATACTTCAAAATGCTATCTGCATTCCCATGTTTATTGTAGCACTATTCACAATAGCCAAAATATAGAATCAATGTAAGCGTCCATGAATAGATGAATAAATAAAGAAAATGTGAGATACATACACAATGTAAAACATAGGCTATAAAAATAATGAAATCCCATCACTCATAGCAACATGGATGGAACTGGAAGTTATTATGTTAAATGAAATAGGATAAGCACAGAAAGATAAATATCACATGTTCTCACTCTTATGTGGAAGCTAAAAAAGTGGATTCATGAAGATGCAGAGTAGGTGGGTGGTTACCAGAGGCCAGAATGTGTAATGGGAGGAAAGGATGAAGAGAGGTTGATTAATAGGTACAAATATCCAGTTTGAAAGAAGAAGTAAGACCAAGTGTTTGACAGATCAGTAGGATGACCAGAGTTTAAAATAACCTATTGTATATTTCAAAAATAGCTAGAAAAATAAATTCAAATGTTTTAGCATAAAGACAAATATGTAAAGTGATGGATATCTTAATTATACTGATTTGATTTTTATGAATTATATGAATGTATTATCATTTATACCCCCACAACAGGTACAACTATTGCCAATAAAAAATAAAACTAAAATAAATAAATAAAACAATTATACTTCATATGCTGAAAGCTCTAATGGATAAAGTAGACTACATGTAAGAACAGATGGGCAGTGTAGGCAGACAGATAAAAATTCTAAGAAAGAATCAAAAAGAAGTACTAGAGATCAAAAACACTGCAACAGAAATGAAGAATGCTTTTGATGGGCCCGTAAATAGAATAATTATGGCTGAGATGAGAAAAGATCTCTGAGCTTGAGGGTGTCTCAATAGAAACTTCTAAAACTAAAAAGTCAAAAAAAAAAGGTTGAAAAAACAGAACAGAATATCCAAGAACTGTGGGACAACTAAAAAAATGTATAACATACATGTAATGAGGATACCAAGAGAACAAAAAAGAATGGAATAGAAGAAATATTTGAAGCAATAATAGCTGATAATTTTCCAAAATTAATGTCTCACAACAAATCACAGATCAAGCAACCCCTACCACAAAAAAATCAGGACAAATGCCAAAAATTTATACCTAGACATAATAACTTTCAAACTACAGAAAATCAAAGATAAAGACAAATTTGGAAAGAAGCCAGAGGGAGAAAATACCATATCTATAGAGGCACAAAGATAAAAATTATACTGGACTTCTCTTCAGCAACCATGCAAGCAAAAAGAGTGAGGAGTGAAATATTTAATCCTTTGAAATTATCTTGCAAAAATGGAAATGAAATAAAGACTCTCAAACAAGCAAAAATTGAGAGTATATATCACCAGTAGACATGCCTTTGAAATAAATGTCAGAAGAGATTCTTCAGAGAGAATGATAATCACAAAGGTCAGCAAATGTTATTTACATAAAAAGAATAGTATTAGAGAAGGAATTAAGTGAAAGTAAACTAAAAATTTTTATTTTTCTTATTCTTAATTGATGTTACAGATAATTGTTTGCTGAGATGGGTTCACTATTAAATTCTACCTAACACTTAAGGGAGAAATTATACCAATTTTCTATAATCTCTTACAATCTCTTTCAGAAGACAGAAGCAGAGGGGATACTTCCTCACTCATTCTATCAGGCCATCCTTACCCTAACATCAAAACCATAGAAAAATATTACAAGAAATGGAAACTACAGAAAAATGTCTGTCGATGCAAAGATGCAAAAAACTCTCACTATACATTAGTAAATCAGATTCAACAATGCATAAAAAGAATTATACACCACAAACAAGATTTATCGCAGGCATGTAACTGGTTCAACATTAGAAAATTAGCTGATGTACTTCATCTCACATCAATAAGCTAAAGAAGAAAAATCACATTATCATATCAATAAATACAGAAAAAGCATTTAACATTAAAAAGCCAACACTCAGGCCTGGCACAGTGGCTCATGCCTGAAATCCCAGCACTTTGGGAGGCCAAGACGGGCAGATCATGAGGTCAGGAGATCGAGACCATCCTGGCTAACACGATGAAACCCCGTCTCTACTAAAAATACAAAAAAATTATCCGGGCATGGTGGCAGGACCCCTGTAGTCCCACCTACTCGGGAGGCTGAAGCAGGAGAATGGCGTGAACCTGGGAGGCAGAGCTTGCAGTGAGCCGAGATTATGCCACTGCACTCCAGCCTGGGCAACACAGTGAGAGTCCATCTCAAAAAAAAAAAAAAAAGTCAACACTCATTTGTGTTTTAAAAGCAAACTAACAGTAAACTAGGAATAGAGGGAAATTTTTTCATCTAACAAACTATCAAACAAAAAAACCTACAGCTGACATCGTACTTAATGGTGAGATATTAGATACTTTCCCAGTAAGATAAGGAGCAATGCAAGGACGTCTCCTCTCACCACTCCTATTTCAGTATCATACAGGAAGTTCTAACTAATACAATAAAATAATAAAAAAAGTATACTGATTGGGAAGAAAGAAATAAAACTGTCTTTGTTCATATATGACATAAACACCAATTTGGAAAATCTAAAAAGAATTGAAGAACCCTTGGAACTAACAAGTGATTGTAGCATGGTTGCAATATACAAGGTTAATGCACAAAAGCCAATAATTTTCCTATACACCAGCAACGAACAAATGAAACTTGAAATTAAAGACATAATACTATTTGCATTAGCCCCCCCAAAAAATGAAGTACTTGGTATAAATCTAACAAAATATATATAAGATCAATATGAAGAAAACTACAAAACACTGATGAAGGAAATAAAAAAGGACTAAATAAATGAAAACACATTACATGTGAATGGATAGAAAGACTCAATATCGTCAAGATATCAGTTCTTACTAACTTGATCTATAGATGGAACACAATCCCTGTCAAAATCCCAGCAAGGTGTTCTGTGGAAATTAACAAACTGATTCTAAAGTTTCTATGGAGGCACAAAAGATCAAGAATAGTCAAGTTACCATTGAAAGAAAAAGAACAAAGTCAGAAGACTAACACTACCCAACTTCAACATACTGTAAGTCTGTAGTAATCGAGGCAATATGATATAGGAGAAAGAATAATCAAATGGATCAATGAAATAGAATAAGGAGCCCAGCAACTGACAAACATAAATCTAGTCAACTGATCTCTGACAAAGGAGCAAAAGCAATACAGTAGAGAAAAGAAAGACTTCAACAATTGGTACTAGCTAGACATCAAAATGCAGGAAAAAAAAAAGAATCTAGACACAAACTTATCACCCTTCAAAAAGTTAATCCAGAATGGGTCATAGGCCTAAATGTAAAATGCAAAGCTAAAAAACTCCTAGAAGATAACTCAGAAAAAAAAAAAAAACCTGGATGACCTTGGGTATTGCATAGACTTTTTAGATACAATACTGAAGGCACAATCTATGAAAGAAATAATTAAGAAGCTGGGCCTCATAAAATTAAAACATTCTCTGTGAAAAGCACTGTCAAGAGAATAAAAAGATAAGCCACAGAATGGAAGAAAATATTTGCAAAAGACACATCAGATACATGACTGTTATTCAAAATATGAAGAGAAAACTTAAAACTCAACAAGAAAACAACTTGATTTAAAAATGGGCAAAAGACTTTAAAAGGCCCCTCACCAAAAAAAAATAGATGGAAAATAAGTATATGAAATATGCCTCACATATGTCATCAGTAAAATGCAAATTAAAACAGCAATGAAATACCACTACACACCTATTAGAATGGCCAAAATCCAAAACACTGACAACAAAAAATGTTGGCTTGGATGTGGAGCAACAGGGACTCTCATTCACTGCTGGTGGGAATGCAAACTGGTACAGCCACTTTCAAAGATGTTTTGTCAGTTTCTAACAAAACTAAGCATACTCTTACGATATGATACAGCAACCACAATGCTTGGTATTTACTCAAAATAGGTGAAAATTTATGTCCACACAAAAACCTGCAGAAGGATGTTTATAGAAACTTTATTTGTAATTACCAAACTTGGAAGCAACCAAGATGTTCTTCAGTAGATGAGTGGATAAATAACTATGGTACATTCAGACAATGGAATATTATTTAGCACTAAAAAGAAATAAGCTATCAAGCCATAGAAAAACACGGAGAAACATTAAATGCATATTACTAAGTGAAAGAAACCAATCTGAAAAGGCTACATACTATATGATTTCAATGAAATGACATTCTGGAAAAGAAAAACCTAGGAAAACAGTAATAAGATAAGTGGTTGCCAAGGGTTAGTGGAGACAGAAGGATGAACTGATGGAGCACAGAGAATTTTTAGAGTAATGAAAATACTCTCTGTATATCATAATGATGGATCTATATCATTACACATTTGTCAAAACCCATAGAATGTGAGACACTAACAGTGAATCCTAATGTAAACTGGACTTTGGGTGACAATGATATGTCCTTGTAGGTCATCAATTATAACAAACAGACCACTCTGGTGTGTGATGTTAAAATTGGGAAAGATTGTGCCTCTGTAAGATGAGTGGATATATGGAAAATCTCTGTACTTTCTACTTTCCAAAGTTTCTGTGAACCTGAAGCTCCTCTAAAAAATAAAGTCTATTTTTAAAAGTAGATAAATAAAACAATAGTTTTTCATGATCCCTGTGTATTCACAGACACAGGAATTACAGCATAATTATCTTTCCTTTGAGAACCAGGTTAATGTATTTATCAGAAAATTTAACACCCTCTGAAAAGTACCCAATTATAACAATATATATTTAGGTCATTAGCAATTTAATTCTGCTCAATATATCTTCTGTAACTAATTATGGCTGCTGAATTTAATGACTTAATTCAGCTCTCAATTGAAGCTAGATGCAACAGAGTCTGTCACATGGTAGTGACCCAAAAAATGTCAGTAAATTAATGAGTGATGCAAAAAAGTGTCCAAGAAATGTGATTCAGGGAAACATGTGGTTACTTACTCCATGTCCAGAACACTGTTGTGAACAAACATGTGCTGAAGCCTTAATTATCCTTGATTCTACACATTCACGATTTACACAAACCTAAAGAAAAACACATACAAAAAAAGTTCCCATGTCAGAGGGGTACAGTCATCATAACATTACAGTAAATAATTATATGATATAAAAGCATAGCCATTCAATGATACAAATTTTCCTCTAAGTACTGCTTTTGCTGCATTCCAGAAGGGTGTTTTATTTTTTTTGCAAGAAAAGACATTTGTGATTTATTTGCATTTTAAATTGATATTATTATTACTATGTTTCTTCATGTAGTTCTAAAGCAGAATAATTAAAACAATAACAAAAAGCCCAGTGTTTAAATAATAAGAGAGTTTTAGCAAACATCTAAATAAGGATATTATATTGTCTACTTAGGCTGACACCACAAAGTACTATAGCTTAAGTGGCCTCAACAACAGTGACTTATTTTCTAACAGTTCTAGAGGCTGGAAGTCCAAGATCAAGGTGTCTGCAGGGTTGGTTTCTCCTGAGGCCTCTCTTCTAGACTTGCCTTCTCCCTATGTCCTCACATGGCCTTTCCTCTACATGCACAAGCCCCTGGTGTCTCGTTGTGTATCCAAATCTATTTTTTATAAGGATGCAAGTCAGATTGGAACAAGGCTGCAGTTTCATTTAACCTTAACTACTTCTTCTTTTTTTAATTTTTATTTCAATAGATTTTGGGGAACAGGTGGTGTTTGGTTACACGAATAAGATTTTTAGTAGTGATTTCTGAGATGTTGGTGCAGCCATCATCCTAGCAGTGCACACTGTACCCAATATGTAGCCTTTCATTCCTTACTGCCTCCCACCCTTCCCCCCAAGTCCCCAAAGTCTATTGTATCATTCTCATGCCTTTGCATCTTCAGAGATTAGCTCCCACTTGTGAGTGAGAACATATGATGTTACGTTTTCCATTCCTGAGTTACTTCACTTAGAATAATGGCTCCAACTCCATCCAGGTTGCTGTAAAATGTCATTATTTTGTTCCTTTTTAAGGCTGAGTAGGATTCCATGGTATTTATATACCACATTTTCTTAGCCACTGTGGGTTGTCTGTTTACTCTGCTGATTATATTTTTGCTATGCAGAAGCTTTTTAGTTTAATTAAGTCCCATCTATTTATCTTTGTTTTTATTGCATTTGCTTTTGGGTTCTTGTTCATGAACTCTTTACCTAAGACAATATCTAGAAGAGTTTTTCTGATGTTATCTTCTAGGATTTTTATGGCTTCAGGTGTTATATTTAAGTCTTCGACACATCTTTTTTTTATTATACTTTAAGTTTTAGGATACATGTGCACAACGTGCAGGTTTGTTACATATGTATACATGTGCCATGTTGGTGTGCTACACCCATTAACTCGTCATTTAACACTAGGTATATATCCTAATGCTATCCCTCCCCACTCCCCACACCCCACAACAGGCCCCGGTGTGTGATGTTCCCCTTCCTGGTCTTTGACACATCTTGAGTTGATATTTGTATAAGGTGAGAGATGAGGATCCAGTTTCATTTTTCTACATGTGGCTTGCCAGTTATCCCACCACCATTTGTCGAATAGGGTGTCCTTTCCCCACTTTATGTTTTTGTTTGCTTTGTCAAAGATCAGTTGACTGTAAATACTTGGCTTTATTTCTGGGAGCTCTATTCTGTTCCATTGGTCTATGTGTCTATTTTTATAGTGGTACCATGCTGTTCTGGTGATTATAGCCTGGTAGCATAGTTTGAAGTCAGGTAATGTGATGCTTCCAGATTTGTTTTTTGGGTTTTCTTATTTTGTTTTGTTTTTGTTTTTTTGCTTAGCCTTTCTTTGCCCATGCAGCTCTTTTTTGGTTCCATATGAATTTTAGGATCGTTTTTTCCAGTTCTGTGAAGAATGATGATGGTATTTTGATGGGAATTATATTGAATTTATATATTGCTTTTGACAGTATTGTCATTTCCACAATATTGATTCTACCCATCCATGAGCATGGTATGTGTTTTCATTTGTTTGTGTCATCTATAATTTCTTTCAGCAATGTTTCACAGTTTTCCTTTGTTAGGTATATTCCTAAGTATATTGGGGGGTTTTGTTGCACCTACCATAAAAGGGGTTGAATTCTTGATTTGATTCTCAGCTTGGCCACTGTTGGTGTATAGCAATGCTACTGATTTGTGTACATTACTTTTGTATCCTGAAACTTTACTGAATTCATTTATCTAATCTCGGAGCTTTTTTGATGAGTCTTTAGGGTTTCCAAGGTATATGATCATATCATTGGCAAGCAGTGACAGTTTGACTTCCTCATCATCAATTTGAATACTCTTTCTTTCTTTCTTTCTCTTGTTTGATTGCTCTGGCTAGGACCTCCAGTACTATGTTGAATAGAAGTGATGAAAATGGGCATCCTTATCTTCTTCCTGTTCTCAGGGAAAATGCTTTCAACTTTTCCCTATTCAGTACAATGTTGTCTGCGGCTTTGGCATATACAGCCTTTATTACCTTAAGGTATGTCCCTTCTATGCCAATTTTTCTGAGGGTTTTAATCATAAAGCGATGTTGGATTTTGTCAAATGCTTTTTCTGTGTCTATTGAAATGATCATCTGATTTTTGTTTTAAATTCTGCTTATGTGTTGTATTACATTTATTTAGTTGTATATGCTAAACTTGCATCTCTGGTATGATACCAACTTGATCATGGTGGAATATCTTTTTGATATGCTGTTGCATTCAGTTAGCTAGTATTTAGTTGAGAAAATTTGCATTTTTGTTTACCAGAGATATTGGTCTGTAGTTTTCCTTTTTTGTTCTTTCGTTTCCTGGTTTTGATATTAGGGTGATATTGGTTTCATAGAACAATTTAGGAAAAATTCCCTCTTTCTCTATCTTTTGAAATATTTTCAGTAGGATTGGTACCAGTTCTTTTATTAATCTCTGACAGAATTCAGGTATGAATCCATCCAATTCTGGACTTTTTTTCATTGGTAATGGTTTTTATTACCATTTCAATCTCACTGCTTGTTATTAGTCTGTTCAGAGTTTCTATTTCTTCCTGATTTTATTTAGGAGGGTTGTATATTTCCAGGAATTTATTTATCTCCCCTAGGTTATCTATTTTGTGTTCATAAAGGTGTTCATAGTAGCCTTCAATGATCTTTTGTGTTTCTATGCTATAGGTTGTAATATCTCCCATTTCATTTCTAATTGAGCTTATTTAGAACTTTCTCTTCTTTTCTTGGTTAATATCACTAATGGTCTATCCGTTTTGTTTATCTTTTCAAAGAACCAGCTTTTGTTTCATCTATTTTTCCTTTGATTGTATCCATTTTATTTACTTCTGCTCTGATCTTTGTTACTTATTTTCTTCTGCTGGATTTGGGTTTAGTTTGTTCCTGTTTCTCTAGTTCCTTGAGGTATGACTGTTATGGTTTGGCTGTGTTCCCAGCCAAATTTCATTCTGAATTCCCACATATTGTGAGAGGTAACCAGTGGGAGGTAATTGAATCATGGAGGCAGGTCTTTCCTGTGCTCTTCCTGTGATAGGGAATAAATCTCATGAGATCTGATGGTTTTCTAAAAGGGAGATTCACTGCACAAGCTCTCTTCTCTTGTCTGCTAATATGTATCTTTCACCTTCCACCATGATTGTGAGGCTTTCCCAGCCATGTGGAACTGTAAGTCCATTAAACTTCTTTCTTTTGCAAATTGCCCAGTCTCAGGTATGTCTTTATCAGCAGCATGAAAAAAACTAATACAGTAAATTGGTACCAGTAGAGTGGGGTGCTGCTGAAAAGAAACCCAAAAATGTGAAAGTGACTTTGGAACTGGGTAACAGGCAGAGGTTGGAACAGTTTGGAGGGCTCAGAAGAAAATAGAAACATGTGGGAAAGTTTGGAACATCCTAGAGGCTTGTCAAATGGTTTGGACCAAAATGCTGATAACGATATGAACAACACAATCCAGGCTGAGGTGGTCTCAGATGGAGATCAGGAACTTGTTGGGAACTGGAGCAAATGTGGCTCTTACTATGTTTTAGCAGAGACTGGCAGCATTTTGTCCATGCCCTAGAGATTTGTGGAATTTTGAACTTGAGAGAGATGATTTAGAGTATCTGGTGGAAGAAATTTCTAAGCAGCAAAGCATTCAAGAGGTGACTTGGGTGCTATTAAAGGCATTCAGTTTTAAAAGGGAAACAGATCACAAAAGTTTGGAAAACTTGCAGCCTGATAGCACAATAGAAAAGAAAATCCCACTTGCTGAAAAGAAATTCAAGCCAGCTACAGAAACTTACATGAGTAATGGGGACCCAAATGTTAATCACCAAGACAATGGGGAAATTGTCTCCAGGGCATGTCAGAGGCCTTGGTGGCAGCCTCTCCAGTCAGAGGCCTGGAGGTTTAGGAGGGAAAAAATGACTTTGTGGGCCAGGCCCACGGTCCCTCTGCTGTGTGCAGTTTAGGGACTTGGTGCCCTGCATCCAGCCACTCAAGCTGTGACTGAAAGGGACCAAGGTACAGCTCAGGCTGTGGCTTCAGAGGGTGGAAGCCCAAGCCTTGGCAGCTTCCATGTGTTGTTGAGGCTGTGGATGCACAGAAGCCAAGAGTCAAGATTTGGGAACCTCTGCCTAGATTTCAAAGGATGTATGAGTGTCCAGGCAGAAGTTTGCTGCAGGAGTGGAGCCCTCATGGAGAACCTCTGCTAGAGCAGTGTGGAAGGGAAATGTGAGGTTGGAGCCCCCACACAGAGTCCCTACTGGGGCACTGCCTAGTGTAGTCATGAGAAGAGGGCCACCATCCTCCAGACCCCAGAATGGTAGATCCACCTACAGCTTGCACTGTTTGCCTGGAAAAGCTGCAGACATTCAGTGCCAGCCTGTGAAAGCAGCCAGGAGGCTATACCCTGCAAAGTCACAGGTGCAGAGCTGCTCAAGGCTGTGGGAGCCCACCTCTTGCATCAGCATGACCTGGATGTGAGACATGGAGTCAAAGGAGATCATTTTGGAGCTTTAAGATTTCACTGCCCTGCTGGATTTTGGACTTGCATGGGACCTGTAGCCCCTTTGTTTTGGCCAATTTCTCCCATTTGGAATGGCTGTATTTATCAATACCTATACCCCTATTGTATCTAGGAAGTAACTAACTTGCTTCTGATTTTATAGGTGGAAGGGACTTGCCTTGTCTTGGATAAGATTTTGGATTATAGACTTTTGAGTTTATGTTGAAATGAGTTAAGACTTTGGGGGACTGTTAGGAAGGCATGATTGGTTTTGAAATGTGAGGACATGAGATTTGGGCTGAATGATATGGTTAGGCTCTGTCCCCACCCAAATCTCATCTTGAATTCCCATGTGTTGGAAGGTAATTGAACCATGAGGGCAGATCTTTCCTGTGCTGTTCTCATGACAGTGAATAAGTCTCACAAGATCTGATGGTTTTAAAAAGGGGAGTTTCCCTGCACAAGCTCTCTTCTCCTGTCTGCCTCCATGTGAGACATGCCTTTCACCTTCTGCCATGATTGTGAGGCCTCCCCAACCACATGGAATTTTAAGTTCATTAAACCTCTTTCTTTTGTAAATTGCCCAGTCTCAGGTATGTCTATGAGCAACATGAAAGCAGACTAATACAATGACAATGACCTTAGGTTGTCTATTTTTTCTCTTTCAGACTTTTCGATGTAGGCATTTAATGCTATAAACTTTCCTTTTAGCACGGCTTTTGCTGTATCTCAGAGGATTGGATGGGTTGTGTCACTATTATCATTCAGTTCAAAGAAGTTTTTAGTTTCTATTGATTTCACTGTTTACTAAAAGATCATTCAGGAGCAGACTACTTAATTTCCATGTATTTGGATGGTTTTGAGGGTTTCTTTTGGAGTTATTTCCAATTTTATTCCGCTGTGGTCTGAGAGAGTACTTGACATGATTTCAATTTTCTTAAGTTTATTGAGGCTTATTTTGTGGTCTATCATATGATCAGTCTTGGAATATGTTCCATGTGCTGATGAATAGAAATACATATTCTGCATTTTGGGGCAGAATGTTCTGTAAATACCTGTTAAGTCTATTTGTTCTAGGGTATAATTTAAGTACTGTGTTTCTTTGTTGACCTTCTGTCTTGATGACCTGTCCGGTGCTGTCACGAAGTATTGAAATCCCCACTATTATTGTGTTGCCATCTATCTCATTTCTTACGTCTATCAAGAATTGTTTTATAAATTTGGGAGCTCTAGTGTTAGGTGTATATGTATTTACAATTGTGATTTTTTTCCTATTGGACTAGTCCCTTTATCATTATATAATGCCCCTCTTTGTCTTTTTTAAGTGTTTTTGCTTTAAAATCTGTTTTGTCTAATATAAGAATAGCTACTCCTGCTCACTTTACATGTCCATTTGCATGTAATATCTTTTTCCACCCCTTTACCTTAAGTTTATGTGAATCCTTATGTGTTAGGTGAGTCTTTTAAAGACAGCAGATACCTGTTTGGTGAATTATTATACATTCTGCCATTCTGAATCTTTTAAGTGAAGAATTTAGGCCATTTATTTTCAATGTTAGTATTGAGATGTGAGGTACTATTCTATTTATCATGCTGGTTGTTTCCTGAATATCTTGATTATTTTTTCATTGTGTTGTTGTTTTTAGAGACCCTGTGAAATTTATGCTTTAAAGAGGTTCTATTTTGGTGTATTTCAAGGTTTTGTTTCAAGATTTAGAACTCTTTTTAGCAGTTTTTGTAGTGCTGGTTTGGTAGTAGCAAATTTTCTCAGCTTTTGTTAGTCTGAAAAAGACTTTATCTTTCCCTCATTTATGAAGCTTAGTTTCACTGCACACAAAATTCCTAGCTGATAATTGTTTTGTTTAAAGAGACTAAAGATAGGATCCCCATCCCTTCTAGCTCGTAGAGTTTCTGCTGAGAAATCTGCTGTTAATCTGATAGGTTTTCCTTTATACATTACCTGGTGCTTTTGCCCCCAGCTCTTAAGCTTCTTTCCTTCATCTTTACTTTAAATAACCTGATGACCATGTGCCTAGATGATGATCTTCTTGTGATAAATTTTCCAGGTATTCTTCGAGGTTCTTGTATTTGGAAGTCGAGATCTCTAGCAAGGCCAGGGAAGTTCTCCTTGATTATTCCCTCAAATAAGTTTTCCAAACTTTAGGATTTCTATTCTTCCTCAGGAATACAAATTATTCTTAGTTTGGTTATTTAACATAATCCCAAACTTCATGGAGGCTTTGTTCATTGTTTTATTTTTTATTTTTTTTGTCTGTGTCAGATTGGGTTCATTCCAAAGCCTTGTGTTAAAGCTCTTAAATTCTTCTACTTGTTCAATTCTATTGTTGAAACTTTCCAGTGTATTTTGCATTTCTCTAAGTCTTTTATTTCCATAAGTTATGATTTCTTTTATTTCTGATCTCTATTTCTCTGGAGATTTTTTGTCCATATTCTGTACTTTAAAAAATTTCTTTAGGTAGTTTTTCACCTTTCTCTGGTGCCTCCTTGAGTAGCTTAATAATCAAATTTCTGAATTCTTTTACTGACAGTTCAGAAATTTCTCCTTCGTTTGGATCCACTGCTGGTAAGCTAGTGTGATCTTTTGGGAGTGTTATAGAACCATGTTTTTGTCATATTACCAGAATTGTTTTTCTGGTTCCTTCTCATTTGGGTAGACTATGTTAGAGGAAAGATCTGGGAATCAAGTGCTGCTGTTCAGACTCTTTTGTCCCACAGGGTAATCCCTTGATGTTGTGCTCTATCCCTTCCCTTAGGGATAGGGCTTCCTGAGAGCCAGACCACAGTGATCATTACTGCTCTTCTGGGTCTAGCCACGCAGTGGAGCTACTGGACTTTCAGTTGGTACTTGGGAATGTTTGCAAAGAATCCTGTGATGTGGTCCATCTTTAGGTCTCTCAGCCATTGATACTAGCACCTGCTCTGGTGGAAGTAGCAGGGGAGTGAAGTAGATTCTGTGAGAGTCCTTGGTTATAGTCTTGTTTAGTGCACTGGTTTCCTTCAAGACTGGTTATGCTAGCAATGAAGTTGTTATGTGGACAGACTCAGGACCTCTGGTTAGCCAGAATGTTGTAGGCAGTGGAATTAGCTGTTGTTTTTTCCTTCCTTGGAGCAGGGTTGTTCTGTTATGAACTGCTGTAATGGCTTGAGTTGGCTGGCCTCCAGCCAAGAGACAGCACTTTCAAGAGAGCATCAGCTGTAGTAGTATAGGGGGAATACAAGCTTGCCCTAAGGTCACCCAGGTAAGTATTCAAGTTTTTCAGGTGATGGGTGGGCCCTAGAGCTCCCATGAGTTACTGTCATTTTTGTCTTCAGCTACCAGGGCAGGTAGAGAAAGACCATCAGATGAGGGCAGAGTTGGGCATGTCTGAGCTCAAACTCTCCTTGGGTAGGGCTTGCTATGGCCGTTGTGGTGGATTGGGGGAGGTGGTTCTCAGGTCAATGGAGTTACCTTCCAAGGGGGATCATGGCTGCCTCTGCTGCTTCATACAGGTCACCAGGGAAGTGGGGGAAAGCCGGCAGTGACAGGTCTC
The DNA here is from genome assembly GCF_000001405.40 of Homo sapiens. Lineage (NCBI taxonomy): Eukaryota > Metazoa > Chordata > Mammalia > Primates > Hominidae > Homo > Homo sapiens. Next base: position 39,237,588 of record NC_000008.11, on the reverse strand, counting down.
ACCCAGCTCCTATGCAGCCAGTAAGGCCAGTGTCACTCCCACCATGCTCCCCAAGCAGCCAACACAGCCCAGTGTATATCCAGGCCTCTGGTGCACAGGGCTGAGATCTTGCTCCAGGCTACAAGCCTCCCCACTGAGAAAGCAAGCAGAGCTCTCAGGCCTTGCTTCTACCTGCCTGCCATGGCTTCTGTGCTCATATTTGCACTTCTTGTTCACCCCACCACATCTGCCCAGGAAAATTCACACTAAGTCAAAATTTTTACAAGGTTGAGCTGGAAGTCTCCTTATCCTTGTGGCCCTTCCCCAATTCCACTGGCTGTCCTCCCCAGGCACTGCTGTCAGATTAAATCAGAAATCGCTTCCCAGGGCTTCCCTGAGAACTGGGAGTGCCTACAAGGCTCTTCCCGCTGCTTCTTCTACTTTTATGGTTTGCTCGGCTCTCTAAATTCATTTCAGCTCTAGGTAAGGTTAAATTATTCTCCTGTGATCTGGATTTTCAGGTTCTCCAGTAAGGATGTGTGTCCAGAGCCAGACTTTCCCCCACTCACATATTGGGCATTTACAGTTTTATGGGTGTTTCACGAAGTTTGTAGTGGCAAGCTGCTTCTTTTGAAGGGTCTGTGAATTCTTTAAGTTTTCCTGTTATGTTCCTGCAGTGGTTCTTGCAGCAAAAGTTCATAATGTGAGTCTCCACACGCTGTCCATCCAAGTGGGAGCTGCAAGTAAGTCCTGCCTCCTATCTGCCATTTTTCTCCCTGTGTCCTCCACAAGTTTTGATAAGTTATATTTTCATTTTCACTTAGTTCAAAATATTTTAATTTTTTTCTTGAGAATTTTTCTTTGACCCATGTGTTATTTAGCCTCAAAGAGTATGGGGATTTTCCAGGTAACCATAATGTAAACTATGAATTTTGGGTGATAATGATGTGTCAATATAAGCTCATCAATTATTACAAATGTACCACGCTGATGTAGGTTATGCACAGTGGTACAGGTTTTGTGGGGGAGTAGGGGATAAAGAGTATATGAATACTTTTTTGTATTTTTCACTCAATTTTTGCTGTGAACCTAAAATGGCACTAAAATGTAAAGTATATTTTTTAAAATAATTTTTTTAATGATTCAGGGCAGAAAAGTGGAGGATATCAATAAAATAAGATTGGCTATTAAATAAATAATTATTATCAAAGAACCACTTTTCATTATAACACCATGAAATCTAACAAGACTATCCCTGAGTACACAGTTCAAAGAATATCTTGTATTAATTGCACATACAAAAGTTTTACATAGTAAAAAATTAACTCCATATAATAATGGCATATATTGTTTTCATAAAATATGAACTATCATTAGAGTCTCATAAGTATTTAATGAAGATAATAGAAATTTTTGTTAAAATGTACCAGAGTTGTCTATCATTATATTATGGAACGTATAAAAAATTCTGACATAATTCTTCTAACTTTAAAGTATAATAATCAGAGGGCTGAAGATATATTCCCAACTCCATTATTTATGGCAATCTCAATTTCCTTAAGTTGCAGTTTTTACACGAGTACAATAATACTTTTTTAAAAAATGTTATTTTAGAAAAAGCAAGTAACATTAGAGCTTGTTTTTAGTTTAAAATGAGATGACATATGTGAAAATCATTTCCTGTTAAACATTAAAGCACAGCATAACCTTCTTCAGATAAATGGCATCATAAACCTCTTCTAAATACAAACAATCTAACCCTTTTAAACTTTTAATATGTTGAGTCTTCTCGCTGGTCCTTGACCATGATGATGTGTCTAACAAGTCTTTTTGGAATATAGTATCTACTGTCTGCCTGGCTCAGTTGAAATTGAGATAGATTCCCCACTGAATAAGGACACTAACTTACAGAAACAATACTAAGAATGTTTCATCATATATAATTTATACTATCATTAAAAACTACCCAGTAAAATTTGTTTTTACACATTATTTCTGAGAAGAATTGTCTGGGTTATTAAAAAGATTATATTCTTATTAAATTACTTATCAAATCATCTCAAAGACTTTATTGGTTGTGTTGCATTTTTTAGGCTTTTTCTTTTCTGCTCCATGACCTAAATATATCCACTGAGCTCCCTGGCCCAAACCTCCATCAAGATGGCACTTATGACTCGAATGCATAAAAATAAATCAATATTAATGAGTCTATATACTTTACCTACAGTAAGCTTTATTTATACTATAAAACCACTAAAAGTGGCTATTGAAATATACATTTCATATCTAAGGATACCAAGGCTTAATAATATTAAATTATTTCTTAAAGATCATCTATCAAGTAAGTGGCAGAGTCAGAATTCAAATCTATGAACATCTATCTTTAAAGCCTACACTTTACACTTTTTATATTTCCCTATGAGCAAAGATCTGGTCAGGAATTAAATAAGATTTTATTTTAATTTCTAAATATTTATTTATTTATTTCATATATCCAAAGATTTATTATTTACAGATCCTGGGCAGGGAGAGCACATTGTACCAGGAGGGCAGTCCTCCATCCCCAGGTCACAGGACACAGGAATGAAGAGTCAGACAGAGAGGGGCGGGGGGAAGGAGAGAAAGAAGTAACAGTATACACATATATGGAAGAATAGGGTATGGATTGCTTTAGGTTTGCAGACAAACTCCTGAATGGTCCACTTAAGAAAAGCATGGGGAAAGTTGAGAGCCCAGTCCCCCAGGAAGGAGAAATGCCTTTAAGTTCTTATCTCTGGCTGGCTTGAGCTATTTGGATGTTGTGTTCTACTTCCAATGCCTAAGCAGGAACCTTTGCTGTGTTATTCCCTCTAAATGAGATGTTAAATTTATTTGCTCTATCTTCTCCAGATTTGGGTTGGTTTCAAAGATGACAAATTATAATGATAACAATCGGCAATAATAGCCAAACTGTATTTAGTTATTACTATGTTCTGGGCATTGTGCTAAGCACTTATAATATTATCTCATTTAATCTTCACAATACCCTGTAGAGTAAATGCTATTATTATCCCTACTTTATGTACAGTTGAGATATCTCAGACTAGCTAGATAACTTGCAAAATGTTAAACAATATTTGATTCTATCTAAGCAGCCTGATCTAAGTTGTGCTGTTATTCATGGGGCCACAAAGAGATTTATGTTACTAAGTGAGATTTCTTCTTTCTTCTCCCAGAAGAAAAGCAAGTTCCCATGCTATGAGGTTCTTAACTACAATATATTCCCAAGACTCTCTCCCAAGGAAAGCTCCAAATATTTGGAGTTTCCTTGCTCAGAACACTGAAATTCTAATGGGGGGTGGGAGGGGGTGGGGTGCGATGTTCCCATTTCCCTCTTACTATTTGGAGACTAATTTAAGATCATTCATTTTGCCTCCAAACATTTAAGATTACCTAATACTAGCACTAAATTAAAATTTGATACTTAAATAAAAAGATGAAAACAATAAATAAAACTATATTTTTTAAATAGATTTTAAATTATTTACCCTCCCAATATCACACTGAGAGCCATTTTTGACAGCCAGTGGATCTGGAACTGTTCGAGGCAATTTGTAGTCTACAGTTATGCATACAGAATCTCGTACGAAAGCATAAATCACATCACCATTTTCTTGATGGAAAGGCTTTCGAGTAGGGTAGGTACAAACTAATCTTCCACATATAAGATTCCTGAAAACATAAAAAATATATATGATTATTATACATTAGGAATTTATTAGGAATGCTTTGGATTTGCTTTCTGTGATGCAAAAAGAATGGTTTTCCACTTATGGCAATGTACTTACAGAAAACGTTAATGTTTTCACGGTAACAAAGTAAAAAGTAAAAAAAGTATAAATCCATTGATCCTAGCTTAACTTTCAAAGGTACTATCAGAGGCATTTGAACAAGAATGACTCTATCTTGAATAGAGGCTAGGTAAAACAAAGCTAAGACCTACTGGGCTGCATTCCCAGGAGGTTACGGCATTCTTAGTCACAGGATGAGACAGGAGATCGGCATAAGATACAGGTCATAAGCTGATAAAACAGCATTAAGATAAAGAGGCCAGTCAAATTTTACCAAAACCAAGATGGCGATGAAAGTGACCTCTGGTCATCCTCATTGCTCATTATACTCTAATTATAATGCATTAGCATGCTAAAAGATACTCCCACCAGCACCATGACAGTTTACAAATGCCACAGCAACATCAAGAAGTTACCCGATATGGTCTACAAAGGAGAAGAACCCTCAGTTCTGGGAATTGCCCACTCCTTTCCTGGAAAACTCATGAATAAGACACCTCTTGCTTGGCATATAATAAAGAAGTAACAATAAGTGTAAGCAGCTGAGCAGTCCATGCTGCTGCTTTGCCTGTTGAGCAGTCATTCTTTTATTCCTTTACTTTCTTAATAAATTTGCTTTCACTTTACTGTATGGATTTGCCTCAAATTCTCTCTTCCACAAGATCCAAGAACCCTCTCTTGGGGTCCGTATTCAGACCCCTTTCTGGTAACAATACTAGAGATCTGTTACTTACTGGGCAGATTATATATTTACTGTCAAATAATCAATTCACTACAGCATTTTATATCACCCCATAGAAGGAAAGAAAGATGAAAAAGTTGTAACCCCTACACTCTAAGGACTTTACAGTCTAATACTCTTACTATGGTTTATGATATTAATATGATTCAAATTCCATTAAAAATGTTACAAGTGAAATAAATCATTACAGAGGTTTAAGATTCTCTTAAAAGCTCTGTGAAGTTTTCCTTAACTGTGAGGTTAGAGGACACATTCTAACTTCACAGTTAAGAAAAACTTCATAGAGGAGACACCATCTGAGTCAAAGCTCACAAATTAGTAAGCTTTCAACAGAAACAGTGAAGTATTTCTAAACAAAAGTAACAGCATAAGCAAGTCAAGGAAGCATACAACTTTATGGTATGTTTATGAGTCTACAAATTCCATGAGTGTATGAGTATGATTTGCTAACTAGGATTTAGCCCAGTGTCTGGCATATAGTAGGGTCCTAAGAGATGTTTTGTAAAAATAAACTCATGATCAAAATATCAAAAACCTGGCTCTTCAGATTCAGGAGGAATTGAACTGCATTTTATAGACACTGAGCAGTCTTCCTCTTAGGCAAGTAACCAAGTGGGATGGAAAGGAAAAATGAGCGGGAAAGGTACAGTGGGTATTATGAATTTCAACTTTGGATTGGATTTAGAAACATAATGGCCATTCACGTATAAATGTTTAGAAATAAGATGAAATTTTAGCCTGCAGCACAAAAGAGGTGTCAGGGCTGGGGATTTTGATTTGAGGTTCACTCCTATGCACATGTAATACTTTAAACCACTGGAATGAATGACACAGAAGGGGGCAAAGTTTTTAAAAATCTAATAGAATATAAGAAAAGTATCATTTATATTTGTAGAGCATACCTCCATCCACAGAACACATATTTGTTATTTCTATCCCTACCACAGTTCCCAAATCTGTCTGATTGAGATTGTATTTCTTCATAGCAGGCAAATGGAGCATTTCTTGAACCTGTTAAAGTTAGAAATACATTTGGATTAAAATGTTTATTGGTTTTTCATCTTCCTCCATTTCTTCATATAATATTCCCTTTATCTCTCCATTAATATCTAATTGAAACATTTTTCCTAGTGAGGTTGTAAGGAAAGAATAAAAAGTAAAGTGAAAGGCAATGCCCACTGTTATTGCTCCTTTTGCTTCATTTTCATCAATTTCCATCATAAAAGATAATATAGGTGGAAGGGAGATGGTATAGAAGTGTCAACTAGAAGAGGGCTCTGTGAAAGAAAGCAATAGAGATATAAACCAAGAAAACTATACCATTCTTCTAGATTCTGAGTGTGAACTCATAAAAAACCAAGTCTATAACAAAATCAAGAAAATTTCTTCAATGAGAAGAAACTTCGTTGTATCTTCAGGTAGTCTAAATTTAAGGGACCAAAATTAGCAACCTATGTATTTATCTATTTTTTCCTTCATTATATTGGATTTTTTATTTCTCTGTAAAAAATTAGAAAAGATTCGGCAGCTTAAAACAACACCCATTTATTGTCATGGACTCAGTAGTTAGTTCAGCAAGGCATACAGGTTTTCTCTGCATATTTTCTCTATGCTGAGATCAAAATACTGGCTGGGGCTGCAGTGTCATCTGAGGTTTACCTTCAGAGGTCACTGGTTGTTAGTAGTTCAGTTTTTTGCAGTTGTAGCTTTACTAGCTGTCTGCTAGGGATTGCTCTTGGCTCTTAGAAGTTCCTTACAGGTCCTAGTCACATGGCACCTCAGAACACAGCAGCTTTCTTCCTCTAAACCCACAGGAGAATCTTGCTGACATTTCCTGTCTTTTAAGGGCTCACATGATTAGTTCAGGTGCACTCAGAGCGACCTCCCTTTTGATTAACTCAAAACTGACTGATTGTAGACCTTAACTACATCTTCAAAATTCCTTGACCTTTACTATATAAGCTAATCACAGGATTGATATTCAATCATATATTCACTGGTTCTACCCCAACTCAAAGGGAGGGAATTATCCAAGGTTTGTCTACACCAGAAAAATTTTGGGAGTCACTTTAGGATTCTACCTACCACAGTTACCTTCTCCAAAATGAACCTCTCTAAATCTGCTTTATTGACAAAAGTAGATAATAATATATATGTCAATGAATTGTTATGAGAATTAATATTATGGCTATTTAGTCACTCTTAATTCCCATCTAATCCCTCTCCATTCTCTTTCAAGATCAAGAAAGTTTCTCCTGTTTACCTGCACCTTCTATGATACACATTTTTTTCTTTCTGCTGTTCTTTTTTGGTTTTTTGCTTTCCCCTCATCTTATCCCTTTCCACCATCTTTGATATTGGCCCATCACAGGAGATTGTATAGATTCCATGAGGATAGGCAATGCTAGTTCAGAGTATTCACAATGTTTAACCAGTTCAATAGTGAATGTGAGATACCAGGTTAGGAATGCCAATGCAGGGCTTGTTAAACACTGAGAGATTATCCGAAGAAAGGAATTTGAAAATTCAGTTTAGTTTAGAAAGATAATGTAAAGAATATGTTTGGTCACAAAGCAGTCAGATGAATTCTGCTGAAAGTATAGTCGCCAACCAACTCAATTTTATTAGTCTACGTGTGGCATCTAAAGTTACCAATAACCCCCTCTCATTAATTTCTCCCTTAAACGCTCTCTCCCATTAGTATTAGATGATCACTTTCTCTCAGACTTGTCTTGGTTTTCAAAAGTGAAATGAAAATACTAATAAAAAGGGCAGCACTTTGCAAATGTGAAGTCATATGTTAAATATTCCCTATAATCCAGTATATTGACTAAGTTTAGTAAGCAATAGAATTTGCTCTTCCACAGTCCAAATGGTGTAATTAGATCCCCAGTACCCTATTATCGAATGCTTTGATGTGCAGTAGCCTATTATCAAATGCTTTGACGTGCATTAAAATAGTGGATGCATGTCATAGATAGGTGTGCATGGATGGCACCAGGGCAATAAATGTGGGTGTCTGAGATAAATGTGGTCTGAGAGAGTGCTTGACATAATTTCAATTTTATTAAATTTATTGAGGCTCGTTTTATGGCTTATCTTTGGGTCTATCCTGGAGTGAGTTCCATGCATTGTTAAATAGAATGTATATTCTGCAGCTGTTGGATGAAATGTTCTGTATATATCTGTTAAGTCCATTTGTTCCAAGGTATAGTTTAAATCCATTGCTTGTTGACTTTCTGTCTCGATGACTGTCTGGTGCTGTGAGTGGAGTCTTGAAGTCCCCCACTATTATTATGTTGTTGTCTATCTCATTTCTTAGATCTATTAGTAATTGTTTTATAAATTTGGGAACTCCAGTGATAGGTGCATATATGTTTAGGATTGTGATATTTTCCTCTTGGACAAGGCCTTTTACCATTATATAATGTCCCTCTTTGTCTCTTTTAAATGCTGTTGCTTTAAAGTTTGTTTTGTCTGATATAAGAATAGCTACCCCTGCTCACTTTTGGTGTCCATTTGCATGAAATGCCTTTTTCCACCCCTTTACTTTAAGTGTATATGAGTTCTTATGTGTTAGGTGAGTCTCCTAAAGGCAGCAAATAGTTGATTGATGAGTTTTTATACATTCTGCAGTTCTGTATCTTTTAAGTGGAGCATTTAGGCCATTTACATTCACTGTTAGTATTGAAATGTGAGGTACCATTGAATTCATCATCCTCTTTGTTGCCTCTGTGCTTTGGGTTTTTTGTTTTTGCTTTTTAACTTATATTTTTGTTTTATAGGTCCTGTGTGATTTATTCTTTAAAGAGTTTTTGTTTTGATATGTTTCCAGGATCTGCTTCAAGATTTAGAGCTCCTTTTAGCAGTTCTTGTAGTGGTGGCTTGGTAATGGCGAATTCTCTCAGCATTTGTGTGTCTGAAAAGACTGTATCTTTCCTTCACATATGATGCTTAGTTTCACTGGATACAAAATTCTTGGCTGATAATTGTTTTGTCTGAGGAAGCTGAAGATAGGGCCCCAGTCCCTTCTAGCTTGTAGGGTTTCTGCTGAGAAATCTGCTGATAATCTGATAGGTCTTCCTTTTTAGGTTACCTGGTACTTCTGTCTCACAGCTCTTAAGATTCTTTCCTTCATCTTAACTTTGGAAAACCTGATGACAATGTGCCTAGGCAATGATCTTTTTGTAATGAATTTCCCAGGTGTTCCTTGTGCTTCTTGTATTTGGATGTCTAGGTCTCTAGCAAGGCCAGGGAAGTTTTCCTCCATTATTCCCCCAAATATGTTTTCCAAGCTTTTAGAATTCTCTTCTTACTCAGGAGCCCCAATTATTCTTAGGCTTGATCATTTAACAAAATCCCAGACTTCTTGGAGGCTTTGTTCATATTTTCTTATTCTTTTTCCCTTGTCTTTGTTGGATTAGGTTATTTCAAAGACCATATCTTTGAGCTCTGAATTTCTTTCTTCTACTTGTTCAGTTCTATTGCTAAGACTTTCCAGAGGATTTTGCATTTCTAACAGTGTGTCCAAAATTCCCAGAATTTTTTATGTTTTTTCTTTAAGCTACCTATTTCCTTGAATAATTCTCCCTTCACTTCTTGTATCATTTTTTGGATTTCCTTGCATTCGGCTTCTCCTTTCTCCATTGCCTCCCTGATTAGCTTAATAGCTAACCTCCTGATTTCTTTTTCAGGTAAATCAAGGGTTTCTTCTTGGTTTTAATCCATTGCTCGTGAACTAGTGTGATTTTGGGGGGATGTTAAAGAGCCTTGTTTTGTCATATTACCAGGATTGGTTTTCTGGTTCCTTCTCATTTGAGTAGCCTCTGTCAGAGGGAAGGTCTAGGGCTGAAGGCTTTTGTTCAGATTCTTTTGTCCCATGGGGTGTTCCCTTGATGTAGTACTCTCCCCGTTTTCCTATGGATGTGGCTTCCTATGAGCCGAACTGCAGTGATTGTTGTCTCTCTTCTGGGTCTAGCCATCCAGCGAGTCTACCCAGCTCCAGGCTGGTACTGGTGGGTGTCTGCACAGAGTCTTCTAATGTGAACTGTCTAGGGGTCTCTCAGCCATGGATACCAGCGACTGTTCTGGTGGAGGCAGCGGAGGGCGTAATGGACTCCATGAGGGTTCTTAGCTTTGGTGGCTTAATGCCCTATTTTTGTGCTGGTTGGCCTCCTGCCAGGAGGTGGTCCTTTCCAGAGAGCATCAGCTGTGGTAGTATGGAGAGGGACCAGTGGTGGGTGGGGCCCTAGAACTCCCAAGAGCATATGCCCTTTGTCTTCAGTGACCAGAATGGGTAAGGAAGACCATCAGGTGGGGGCAGGACTAGGCATGTCTGAGCTCAGACTCTCCTTAGTCGGGTCCTGCTGTGGCTGCTGTGTGGGGTGGGGGTGAGATTCCCAGGTCACTGGAGTTGTGTACCTAGGAGGATTATGGCTGCCTCTGCTGAGTCATGCAGGTTGTCACGGAAGTGGGGGAAAGCTGGCAATCACAGGCCTCAGTCAGCTCCCATGCAAACTGAAGGGCCTGTCTCACTCCCACCGTGCCCCAATTTAACAGCCCCGAGTCTGTTTCCTTCTCCCTGTGAAGTTTTACCCCATGCTCCTCTGGCCGTCCTCCAGATAGATCCCTGTGGTGCCAGGCAGGAATGGTCTGCCTGGGGACCCAGAGAACTCCCACGGTCTTTCTCCTGCTTCATCTACCCCTGTATTTTGCCCAGCTCTCTAAATTGACTCAGCTCCAGGTAAGGTCGGAAACTTCTCCCTCAAACAGACCTTCAGTTTCTCCAGTGGGGGTGTGTGTTCAGGAGAGGAGGAAGGGAGGGTCCCCCTTTCCCACTTCCACAGTTGGGGCACTCATGGTATTTGGGGTATCTCCCAGGTCCTGCAGGAGCAGTCCACTTCCTTTAGAGGGTCTGTGGGTCCTCTCAGGATTGTTGGTTTGTTCTTGCAGTTGATTTGGAGCTAAAATTCACAATGTGAGCCACCACACCCTGTCCCTTCCGGAGCTGTAATCTAGTCCTGCCTCCCATCCGCCATGATGATCCATCTCAATTTATAAGTTTTTATGTTGCATGTTCCTTAACAAATTATTATAGTAATAATTATTTCAGTAGTTTTGTCTTTTAACCTTTATACTAGAGACACATCGCCATTTCGGTATTTGGTATTCTGAATTTGACTATATACTTACTTTTACCAGTGAACGTTATATTTTTATATATTTCCATACTACATATTAGTCTTTTTGTTTACATGGAAGAACTCCTATTGACATTTGTTGTAAGATAGATTGAGTGGCAATGAACTCCTTGAGCTTTTGTTTGTCTTAGAAAGTTTTATCTTTCCTTTATTTCCGAAGAAGAGCTTTGCCAGATAAAGTATTCTTGATTGACTTTTTTTTTTTCTTTCAGCACGATATCATTCCACTCTCCTCACTGACAAAGTATCTGCTGAGAAAATCCAACTTACATGTTGGATTATGTTACTTAATCTTTTTTTTTCTCTTGCTTCTTTCAAAATGTCATTATATTTATTGACGGTTTTATTATAATATGTCTTGGTGTAGTCTTGTTCAAATTAAACCTGACTGAAGAATTTTGAGCTTGGTATAATCTTCTTTGGATTAAACCTGACTGAAGGATTTTGAGCTTCCTGTACCTGCACACTTATATCTTTCCTAAGATTTTGGAAGTTTTCAGTTATTATTATTTTAAATAAGCTTTCTGTCCTTGTCTCTCTTCTCCTTTTTTACCTCTTATAATGAGAATGTTAGCTTTCTTGATGCTGTTTCAAAATCCCATAGTGTTTGTTTCTTCATTCCTTTTCATTCTTTTTTCTTATTTCTCCTCTAGTTGTATATATACAAGTAATCTGTTTGCAAGTTCACAGATCTTTCTTTTGCTTTGTGAATTCTGTTGTTGATATTATCTATTGCATTTTAATGTTATTCATTGTGTTCTTCAGCCCAATAATTTGATTTTTTTTTATAAAAATGTATGTTGTTTCTCTGTGTTCTTTTGAAGTTTGCTGAGTATCCTTAGAACAATTATTTTGAATCTTGTTCAGGCAATTTGAAGATCTTTATTTCTCTGGGATCAGTTATTAGAAAATTATTGTGTCATTTAATGGTGATAAGTTTCCCCAGTTTTTCATGTTTCTTATTGTATTGCATTGATACCTTCAAATTCGATGGAGCAGTCACCATTTTGAAACTTTACAGAATGCTTTCACTGATTTAAAAAAAAAAATCTTACTCCATGGGTGGGAAAAAGGCTGTTAGAAGGGTAGAGTTGGATGGTTCCAGCTTTGGTGAAGACAGAGCAGTGTACCCTCCATGCATTTCTGTCAGCTGAGGTCAACATTAACAAAGATTCCAGGGGGTCCTGAGCAGCTAAAGCTGTGGTATCTGCAGGGGCAGTGAGACTGTTGGGTTTTCAATGGTGAAAGATCCTGGGGCCCTCAATCTCTTTTTCTCCCACCAGGGAGGTCATGGCCCCGGGCAATTTCATTTGGCACAAGGTCTGGTTTGAGGGCATTCCCTCACTGATGTCTGATGCACAGTGACCATGCAGTAGCCACAGAGCCAGGGTCTGAATCACAAACACACATGAAGAGACCAAAGGGTACAGGGCAGCAGTCACACTGGTGCCTAGGGTGAAGACAGCCCTGCTTCCACATAAGTAATGATGTATGAAGTAGAGTGGGTGTTTGTGGAGCAGATGGAGAGTCAGCGTCTCAAGCACATGTGGGTGTAGAGCAACAAAAGTTCCTAGGTTCAGTGTGAAGACTCACACATAGCTGCACTGTCTCTGAGACTGACGTATGAGTGCACACAGTGCAGACAAGAGCCACAGCTCCAGGGTCAGGGGTGTGCACAGGGTTGGGAGGGGTAGTCACTCAAGTCCCAGAGCTATAAAATAGTAGCTGATTCTTGGAGGAAAGGCACATTTGGATCTCATTTTCCATGGAGCCAGAGGCAGGGATGACTGTTGGTTACCTCAGTGATAAAAGACGCCTCTGTCCTCTGCAGAGGCCACTGGAGATGACAATGGCACATGCTGAGTGGCTAATACTGATAGCTTCCTCCCTTCTTTGTTCATAACCACCTCCATATATCTCAGATATGCTGCTGTAATCAGCAATCCTTCTTTACAGTTTTTCCCATTTTTTTCTCTGCCGTGCTGCCAGAGGGTTCTTAGATGGACCTTGGAGCCTTCACAAGACTATTATCCTTCATAAATAGTTTTCTATTTTTTGTTTTTTGTGAGGGGATGAAGACCAGCATCCTAAAAATCTTTTGCACAACAAAGGAAAAAATCAACATAGTGAAAAGCCAACTTTTATAAAATAAGATAAAGTATTTGCAGATCATATATATAATAAGGAATTCATTTCCAAAATATATCAGTAACTCATAAAACTCAGTAGCAAAAAAAAAGCCCAATCAAAAATGGAGAAAAGATTGAATAAACATTTCTCCAGAGAATACATACAACTCATCAAGACATATATGAAAAGATGCTCATCACTAATCACAGAACCACAATGAGATACCACTTCACATCTGTTAGAATGATTATTGTCAAAAAGATAAAAGATAACAAATGTTGGTGAAGATGTGGAGAAAAGAAACCCTCATACACTGTCAGTGGGAATATAAGTTGGTACAGCTGCTAAGGAAAACAATATGGAACATCCTTAGAAATCAAAAGTAGAACTACCTTATGATTCACCAATCCCAACTGAGTATAGATTCAAAGGAAATGAATCAATATTGCAAAAGAGATATGTGCACCCCCATGTTTATTGCTACATTATTCATAATAACCAAGATTTGGAAACAACCAGTGTCTATTTGATTGAAAAAGTATAGCACAATCTGATGGAATGAAAGTCAGAGTTTTATTTGTGTTCTGAGTATAAGAGAAGAAAGTTCACTTTTAGCTTAGGTAAACAGATAAATGTATTAAAAATATGATATATATATGTCTGTGTTTATATAGATATATACATATACACAAACACACAAAATGCAATATTATTCAGTCAGAGTAAGGAGGAAAATCCTGCCATTTGCAGTAACACAGATGAACCTGGAGGCCATTATGCTAAGTGAAATAAGCTAGATACAGAGAGGTAAATAACGCATGATCTCACTTATATATACAATCTAAAATTGTCAAACTCAAAAATGCAGAGAGTAGAATGATGGTTGCAAGAGGCTGAGGTAAGGGGAGAAATGGCAAAATGCTAGTCAAGGGGTACAAAATTTTAGTTATGCAAAATAAATAAGTTCAAGAGATGTAATGTACAACAATGTGACTTTAGTAAACGACATTCTATTATATATTTGAAATCTGCAAAAAGGATAGATACAAAAATTCTTTTAAAGGATAAAAAAAAATGGTAACTATATGAGATGATGGACATGTTAATCAACTTAACTGTGGCAAATATTTCACAATGTATACATATATCAAAACAAAATCATACACCTAAAAACATACATACAATTTTTGTCAATTATACGTCAGCAAAGATGGAAAAAATATAAACATTAACAAGAAGAATTAGCGCGTATATGTTTGCTTATACATATAATAAAATATATATATTCCACATTTTATACTATATAAAACATTCTGCTTATATATATAATAAAATATATATAAACAATATTCCACATTTTATACTATATAAAACATTCCACATTTTATATATATGAAAATATACCCCATTATCCTGGTAATGTTAATAACAATGTTAAGGGCTATTGAGATGTAACAAAAAGATATTACCTTTTCCAAATACACTCTCACAACGTGCATCGAGATCATGGCAGTCTCCGTCATAACAAATAAACTTATTATTTTTGCATGAAAGTCCATTGATTAAAGTTATGTCAGGACCACATTCTGGTGAGGTTCCATTACAATTTTCAGCGATGTCACATTCAGGATGTGCTTTCGGCCTACATTCAACGCCTGATTGTAAAATCTAAGAGAAGTTAGAACATAAAAAATAAAGCATTACAAATAGGATTACTGTTTGTTAATATTTACTTCAAAATTGTGTTAATCATTTTCGCTTTAGTCTATCCATTAATGTATATTAATACTTTTTTGTACAAATTACTATGCTAATAATATAAAAATATAAATGGAATGTTATTGACTAAAATAGGAGATAAGACATATGTACAAGAAAATGCAAAACAAAAATCTGATGTGATGAAAGCCAAAGTTTTATTTGTAGTCTCAATGTAAGAGAAGAATGTTCACTTTAAGCTTAGGAAATTTATTTCTTTTGGGTGAAAATAATGTAATTTAGTCCATTTCTAAATGAAATATACTTTTTCAAGCCATGGTTTTTAAGTGTGGAATACTTTAAAATTCTATGACAACTGTGAAACATAAAAAACTGCAGAGGGAAACAGAAGTGTTATTAAAAATGCAGTTCAACTATGAGAGTCTTTGGAGAGGAAGGAACACAACTAGAATCTTTCTCTCAAATCATGGAAATACGTAGACTCTTTCATACATAGAATTGTGGAAATTTACAAAAAGAATCTCAAATAAAACATCTATCTCATAATTCTTAATTGATGACTTCCAGCTGACACTAAAAAGATTACAGAAGTAAGAATGCAATCAGATAATAACATCCTAAGGAAAGAATACATAAAACTGCATCAGTCCAGGACAGTCATGAAGGTAGACTGCATTACGGATAATTCAACAGAGGTATTCTCTTATGAGAAACCTGTTAATAATATTTTAGAAGAGCTGAAAAGAAAAACAGAAAACAGGAGTCAATGTCTTCACTGTATAAACTAAAACATAATCTTTAAGTCAAATGATCTTTGAATAATAAGTTCAAAGTTTAAATGTTATGCTACATGTACCATGTGGAAAATGTTACTTCTAGTGAGTTTCCTTCCTTATACATTTAAGGAAATCTGCTATATCTTTCAATTACACATAAATAGATACTTATTCACAACCCATAAAAACGTTTTTATTTACAATAATATAAATATTGTATCATGCAAATAAATAATTGTTCCATTCAATAGAGGTCTTCCGTATTGAAGAATCCAATAATATCTCTAAATCAAGGCTTAAAAAAACAGCATCAACTTAGTGAAAATATTGGCATATAGAACACCTAAGAAAAGTTAATAAAAATCAGAAATCTGATTCTGAATTTATTATCTTTCTCTTTATCTGAAAAGTAATTTAATTGATGTAATTACAGCTGTAGGTCTGTGTTGTAAAGTACCCTGCACATGATTTGTTATATATTTGAAAGATGTTCATAAGCTTAAATCTTACTTGACAGTCTTTGCAGCACAGTCCTTTATAACATTTTGCTCCGTCTTTCAGTACACAAGTTCGAAAATCACAACAGCTTGCAGGTCCACATTGCTATGAATTAGTGAAATGTACAAGTAAAAATACATCATGACAATAGTAAAATCTTTACTAGGAGTTATATTTTGATGGGCTTACTGTTTGAATTTGGAAAAGGATATGAATGCTGCTGATAGTTACAGGTTTTAACATCTTTAAATATTTAAAACACTAATGTAGGACTTTTACTACCAGTCACAAGAGAGTAACTAGTAACCTACTTACCTTCCTCTGGACTATATTCTCTACTTAAAAGACATGGAGAATGTCAGAATGGATAAAAAGCGAGACCTCACTA
Organism: Homo sapiens; assembly: GCF_000001405.40. Taxonomy (NCBI): domain Eukaryota; kingdom Metazoa; phylum Chordata; class Mammalia; order Primates; family Hominidae; genus Homo; species Homo sapiens. The sequence goes on along the minus strand of NC_000008.11, from coordinate 39,221,326 downwards.
TATGCTACCTATAAAAATACATCATGTATGAAGACACATAGACTGAAAATAAAGGCATGGAAAAATATATTACATGCACATGGAAACACAAAAGAGCAGGAATAGCTATATTTATATTAGATAAAATAGACTTCAAGTCAAAGACTGTAAAAAGAAACAAAGGTGGTCCCCATATACTACTAAAGTAGTCCATTTAGCAAGAGAATATAATAATTCTAAATACAGTGCACCCAACACTGGTGAACCCAAATATATAAAGCAAACATTAATAGACATAAAGAGAAAGAAAGAATAAATTACAATAATACCTGGACAATTCAACACCTCACTCAGTAATGGAAAGATCACCCAGACCAAAAAAGAAAAAATCAACACAGACATCAGAGTTAAACCACACTCTAGACCAAATGGACCTAACACAACATTTCTTCAAACAGCTATAGAATACATATTATTTTCATTAGCAAGTGAAACATTCTTCAGAATAGACCATATGCTAAGCTAAAAAACAGATCTCAACAAATTCAAAAAACAATTAAAATCATATGAAGTATCTTTTCTGATCATAAGGGAATAAAACTAGAAATCAATAACAAGAACTTAGAAAACTACACAAGCACACAGAAATTAAACAACATGCTCCTGAATGATCAATAGTCAATGAAGAAATAAAGAATAAAAATAAAAAATTGTTTGAAACAAATGAAATAGAAACACAGCATAACAAAACCTATGAGATACAGCAAAAGCAATACTAAGATGGTAGTTTATAAGAATAAATGCCTACATCAAAAAAGGAGAAAATTTTCAAATTAGCAACCTAATGATGCACCTCAAGGAACTAGAAAGGCAAGAAGAAACTAAACCTAAAATTAGTGGAACAAAAGAAATAATATAGATCCAAGCAGAAATAAGTAAGAGACTCTAAGTGCAAGTTGAATAAAAAAACAAAACCCATCCATCTGCTGTCTTCAAGAGATCCATCTTATATGTAACAAAGCCAGTAGGCTAATAGTAAAGGGTTGCAGAAAGATCTATCATGCAAATGGAAAACAAAAAAGAGCAGAAGTCAATATTTTTATAGTAGATAACACAAACTTTGGACCAAAAACAGTAATAAAAGATAAATAATGACATCACATAATGATAAAGAGTTCAATTCAACAAGAAGACTTAATGGTACCAAATATATATGCACTGAACACTGTAGAACCTAGATTCTAACTACTTCTAAACCTACAAAAACACTTAGTCACACAATAATAGTGGAGAACTTTAATACCCCACTGACAGTGTTAGACAGATCACCAAGACAGAAAACTAAAAAAGAAATTCTGAATGTAATTTAACACTTGACCAATTGGACCTAATACTAATACACACTTACAAAGTACTCCACATTTCAACAATAGCATATACATTTTTCTTAGCCGTGCACAGAACATACTCTAAGATCAACCACATGCTCAACCATAAACCAAGTCTAAATAAATCTTTTAAAAATTGAAATTATACCAACCATACACTCAAGCCACAGTGAAATAAAAATAGAAATCAATACCAAGAAGATATCTCAAAAACCACACAATTACATGGAAATTAAACAACTTGCTCTTGAATGACTTCATGTTGCTGAAAGAGGCACCAAAGAGGGTGGGAAAGAATGTCTTGAATTGTCAACAGCAACCATCCCTTATCCCCCAGCAGCAGCTTCATGGTGCGGAGAATCTGTGTGACTCAGGGAGGAGAGCACAGTGTCTATGAGGCTTTGCATTGAATTCAATGTTGCCCTGACACAGTGTAAAGCAGAATCAGGCTATACTCAGCTGACACCCATCCATAGAGGGGGCATATAAACCAGCCCTAGCCAGAGGGGAATCATCCTTCTGATCAGTCAGAGCTTGAGTTCCAGCAAGCCTCACCACCATGGGCTGGAGTACTCTGGGGCCCTAAGTGAACTTGAGGGGCAATCTATGACACAAGGACTGCAATGACTAGGCAAGTCCTAGTGGTGAGCTGGGCTCTAAGCCAGACTGCAGGGGCAAGTGACCTGTAGAGACACCAGCCAGGGAAGCTAAGAGAACACTTGTGCCATCCTTCCCCCAGCCTCAGGCAGCAGAGTGCACAGCGCCAAAAAGACCCCGTCCTTCTGGTTGAGAGAAAAGGGAAGAGTAAAGAAGACTTTGTCTTGCATCTTGGATACCAGATCAGCCACAATAAGATAGGGCACTGATCAGGGTGGTGAAGTCCCCATTCCAGGTCCTAGTTCCTAGATATTTCTAAACACACCCTGGCCAGAAGGGAACCTGCTGCCTTGAATGGAAGGACCCCATCCGGGAAGGATCAATCACCTACTCACTAAACAGCCCTTGGGCCCTAAAGAATGAACAGTGATACCCAGGTAGTATGCTGTAGGCCTGGAGTAGAACTTAGTCATGCTGACTTCAGGTACATGCTCTACCACAGTGGGGTAGAGCACCAAGAGGGCTCTTGGGTTCCCTTATTCCAGGACTTTTCTCTTAGATAGCACTTCTGGACCTGTCCTGGGACAGAGGGGAGCCCACTGCCCTGAAGAGTGAGTCCCAGGCCTTGCACACCCACAACAAGCTGACTAAGGAATCACTGGGCCTAAACTCAACATCAGTGGTGGCCTGGCATTACTCCCTGTGGGCCTGTGGTGGCAGAGGCCATAGGGTGAGGGTCCTTAGCCTATGGGAAAAAAAGTAAGAGTAGGAAGGACTGTGTCAAGTGGTTGGAATGCCAGATCAGCCACAGTAGAACAGAACACCAGGTGTATTTCTAAGGTTTCTGACTCCAATCCCTGGCTCCAGGATGGCATCTCTGCACCTGCCCAGGGGCTGTGAGAACTTGCTCCCTAAAGGGGAGGACACAAGCCTGGTTGGCTTTGCCACCTGCTGATCGTGGAGCTCCAGGGCCTTGAGTGAACATAGTCAGTAGTCAGGTAGTGGTTTCAGCAAGCCTTGCGTGAGACCCAGTGCCATGCTGACTTCAGGTCTGATCCAGCACAATCTAAGTGGTGGTGGCCACAGGAATGTGTCTCTCCAACCCCAGCTCCAGACAGTCAGCACAGAAAGAAAGAGAAATTCCATTTGTTTGAGAGAAAGTAAGGAAAGAAAATAAGTGTCTCTGCCTGGTAATCCAGAGAATTCTTCTGGATATTATCCAAGACCACCAAGACAGTACCTCTAAGAGTCTGCAAAAAACCACACCATTACTGAGGTTGGGGTGACCCCTAATGCAAATATGGCTTAAATCACAGCACTTAAGTCCTTTCAAATACTCTGGAAAACCTTCCCAAGGAGGATGGCTACAAATAAGCCTAGATGGCAAAGACTATAATAAATACCTAACTCTTCAATGCCCAGAAACCAAAGAACATCCACAAGCATCAAGACCATCCAGGAAAATCTGACTTCACCAAATGAACTAAATAAGACATCAAGGACCAATCCTGGAGAAACAGAGATATGTGACCTTTCAGACAGAGAATTCAACATAGCTATTTTGAGGAAACTCAAAGACATTCAAGACAACACAGAGAAGGAATTCAAAATTCTATCAGATAAATTTTAAAAGTAAATTGAAATTATTTAAAAAATCAAGCAGAAATTCTGCAGTTGAAAGACACAATTGACCTACTGAAGAATGCATCAGAGTCTCTTAATAGCAGAACTGACCACGCAGAAGAAAGAATTAGTGAGCTTGAAGAAAGGCTATTTGAAAATCCACAGAGGAGACAAATAAAAAAAGAATAAAAAAGAATAAAGCATATCTACAAGATCTACAAAATAGCCTCAAAGGGACCAATCTAGGAGTTATTGGCCTTAAAGAGGAGGTAGATAAAGAGATGGGGGTAGAAAGCTTTTTTCAAAAATATAATAACATAACTACCCAAACCTAGAGAAAGATATCAATATCCAAGTACAAGAAGGTTATAGAACACCAAGCAGATTTAACCCAAAGAAAACTACCTCAAAGCATTTAATAATCAAACTCCTAAAGGTCGAAGATAAAGGATCCTAAAAGCAGCAAGAGAAAAGGAACAAATAATATACAATGGAGATTCAATATGTCTGGCAGCAGACTTTTCAGCAGAAACCTTACAGGTCAGGAGAGAGTGGCATGACATATTTAAAAGTGCTGGAAAAAGAAAACTTTTGCCTTAGGATAGCATATCTGGTAAAAAAATATATATATATATTCTTTAAACATAATGGAGAAATAAAGACTTTCCCAGAGAAACAAAAGCTGAGGGATTTCATCAACACCAGACCTGTCCTGCAAGAAATGTACAAGGGAATTATTTAATCAGAAAGAAAAAGGACGTTAACGAGTGATAATAAATCATCTGAAGGTACAAAACTCACTGGTAAGAGTACCTACAAAGAAAAACACTTTATTATTATAACACTTTAACTGGGGTGCATAAAACTACTCTTATTCTAAGCAGAAAGACTAGATGATGAACCAATCAAAATAATAACTACAACTTTTCAAGACATAGTCAGTACGATATATATAAATAGAAAAAACAAAAAGTTGAAAAGCAGGGGGAGGAAGTAAAATCAGAGTTTTTATTAGCCTTCTTTTTGCTTGTTTGTTTGTGCACAGTGTTAAATTGCTATCAGCTTAAAATAATGGGCTAGAAGATAGTATTTGCTAGTCTCATGCTAACCTCAAATCTAAAAACATATAACAGATACACAGAAAATAAAAAGCAAGAAATTAAATCATATCACCAGAGGAAAATCACCTTTACTAAAATGAAGATGAAGGAAAGAGGAAGATGAAGGAAACAGAAAGGGAAGGGAAGGAAAGGAAAGAGGAGAAAGGGGAAAGGAAAGGAAGAAGAAAGACAAATAACAAAAGGGCAGGAGGAAGTTCTTATTTATCAATAATAACATGGAATGTAAATCAACTAAATGCTCCAATCAAAAATCAAAGAGTGGCTGAACGAATTTTAAAAACAAAAGAAATTAATGATCTGTTGCTTACAATAAATACACTTCACCTATAAAGGCATACACAGACTGAAAATAAATGGATGGAAAGGGATCCTTTGCCAATGGAAACTAAACAAAGAGCAGGAGTAGCTAGACTCATATCCGACAAAACACATTTCAAGACAAAAACTATAAGAGACAAAGAAGGTCATTATATAATGACAAAGGGGTCATTTCAGCAAGAGTATATAACAATTGTAAATACATATGCACCCAACACTGGAGCACCCAGATATATAAAGCAAATATTATTAGAGCTAAAGAGAGAGCTAGACCCCAATACAATAACAGCTGGAGACTTTGACATCCCACTTTTAGCACTCAGCAGACCTTCCAGACAGAAAATCAATAAAATCAATAAAGAAACATCAAACTTAATCTGCACTATAGATAAAATGAATCTAATAGATATTTACAGAACATTTCATCCAACAGCTGAAAAACACACATTCTTTTCTTCAGAACATGAATCATTCTCAAGTATAGACAGACCATATGTTAGGTCACAAAAGAAATCTTCAAGCATTCAAAAAAATTAAATAATATCAAGCATCTTCTCTGACCACAATGCAATAAAACAAGAAACGAATAACAAGAGGAATTTTGAAAACTATTACAAATACATGGAAATTAAACAATATGCTCCTGAATTCACAGTGGGTCAATGAGGAGATTAACAAGGAAATTTAAAAATTTCTTGAAACAAATGATAATGGAAATACAACATACCAAAACCTATGGGATAGAGCAAAACAGTACTAAAAGGTATGTTTATAGCTCTACGCACTTATATCAAAAAAGAAGAAAAACATTTCTATATGGTAACAGTGAACAATCTGAAAATCAAGAAAGTAATCCCATTTACAATAACTATAAATGAAATAAAATGTCTAGGAATTAGTTTAATCAAATAAGTGAAAGATCTCTACAATGAAAACTATAAAACATTGATGCAAGAAATTGAGAACACCAAAAATGAAAAAATATTCCATGTTCATGGATTAGAAGAACCAATATTGTTGAAATAGCCACACTACCCAAAGAAATCTACAAATTCAATGCAATCTCTATCAAAATACCAGTGACATTCCTCACAGAAATAGAAAAAAAAATCCTAAAATTTATATGGAATCACAAAAGACCCAGAATAGCTAAAGCTATCCTGAGCAAAAAGAACAAAACTGGAGGAATCACATTACCTGATATCAAATTATACTACAGAGGTATACTAATCAAAATGATATGGTACAGAAATATAGACCAGTGGAACAGAATAGAGAAACCAGAAACAAACCCATTAATCTACAGTGAACTCATTTTTGACAAAGGTGCCCAGAACATACACTTGGGAAAGAACAGTCTCTTCAATAAATGATGCTGAGAAAACTGGATATCCACATGCATGACAATGAAACTAGACCCCTCCCTCTCACCATATACAAAAATCAAATGAAAATGTAGTAAAGACTTAAATCTAACACCTCAAACTATGAAACTACTACAAGAAAACATTAGAGAAAGTCTCCAGGACATTGGACTGGACAAAGATTTCTTGAGTAATACCCCACAAGCACACAAAACCAAACGAAACATGAATAAATGGGATCACATCATGTTAAAAGCCTTCTGCATAGCAAAGAAAGCAATCAACAAAGTGAAGACACAACCCACAGAATGGGAGGAAATATCTGCAAACTACCCATCCAACAAGGGATTAATATCCAGAACATAAAAGGAGCTCAAACAACTCTATAGGAAAAAATCTAATAATCTGATTTAAAGGTGGGCAAAATGTCTGAATAGACATTTCTCAAAAGAAGACATACAAATGGCAAACAGGTATATGAAAAGGGGTTCAACATCAATGAGTAACAGAGAATTGCAAATCAAAACTACAATGAGATATCATCTCATCTCATTTAAAATGGCTTTTATTCAAAAGGCAGGCAATAACAAATGCTAGTGAAGATATGGAGAAAAGGGAATACTTGTACACTGTTGGTGGGAGTATAAATTAGTACAATCACTATGTATAACAGTTTGGAGGTTCCTCAGAAAACTAAAAATAGAGCTACCATATGATCTAGCAATCCCACTCCTAGGTATGTACCCAAAAGAATGGAAATCATTACGTCGAAGAGATATCTGCATGCCCATGTTTACTGCAGCACTATTCTCAATAGCCAGGATTTGGAAGCAGTCTAACTGTCCATCTACAGATGAATGGATAAAGGAAATGTGGTACATATACACAATGGAGTACTATTCACCCATAAAAAAGAATGAGATTCAGTCATTTGCAACATGGATGGAACTAGAGGTCATTATATTAAGTGAAATAAGCCAGGCAGAGAAAGACAAACACTGCATGTTCCCACTTATTTGTGGGAGCTAAAAATTAAAACAATTGAACTCATGGAGATAGACAGTAAAAGGATGGTTACCAGAGGCTGGGAAGGGTAGTTGGGCAGGTGGGGAGGGGACAAGGGAGTAAGGATGGTTAATGGGTATGAAAAATTAGTTTCAAAGAATGAATAAGAGCTAGCATTTCATAGCACAACAAAGTGTCTGCAGTCAAAAATAATCTAGTTGTACATTTTTAAATGAGTAAAAGAGTATAATTGGATTGTTTGTAACACAAAAAAATAAAGTTTGAGGGAATGAATACCTCATTTACCTTCATGTGATTATTATGCATAGCATGCCTGTATCAAAATATCTCATGTAACCCATAAATATATGGTAGATGTATGTGCAATAGATGTATGTATAAATATACACATCTACTACCCACAAAAATTAGAAATTTTTTAAAAAGATATAGACAAAAGAAAAGAAAAGTTGGTTAAGGGATCTAAAATACAGGTAAATGGAAGGGATTAGTGCTAGCACTCAATAGTACAGTAGGGAAATTATAGTTAATAATTTATTGTATACTTCAAAATAGCTAGAAGGGAAGAATTATAATATTCCCAGCACAAATAAAATATAAATATATGAGGTGGTACATACTCAAATTACCCTGATTTGATCATTACGCATTCTATACAGGTATCAAAATATAACATGTACCCCCAAAATGTATACAACTATTATATATCAAAAAATTGCTTAAAAAGTAAATTTTAAATGTTTTCTCCACAAAAAAAATAATAAGTATGTGAGGTGATGGATTTGTTAATAACCTTGACTTAATCATTACAGAAAGTAAATGTATATCCAAACTGCACTGTATCCCAGAAATATACACAATTATTATTTGTCCATTGAAAATAATTGTTTTTAAAAAATCGCCAGTAAGAGCATGCTCAACATCATTAAAGTAATCAAGAAAATGCAAATTTAAACCACTACAAAACCACTGGAATAGCTAAAATTTAAGAAGTGGATAATAACAAATTCTAGTGCAGATATGAAGGAACTCAAAGTTTCATATGCTGCTGACAGGAGTGTAAAAAGATACAACCATTTTGGAAAATATTTTGGCAATTTCTTATAAACATACACATATCATATGACCTAGAAGTTGTACTTCTACAAATTAAGAATAATGGACCAATAGTTTAACAACTTAAATGTCCATTAGCAGGTGAATGGTTAAAACAGATTGTGATATATCCACACAATTAAATATTACTCAAAATTAAAAGGGAGAAACTATTGTGATATGAAATAAATGGATGAATCTCAAAAACACTATATTGAAAGGAAAAAGCCAGACATAAAAAAATATGTGCTGTCTCATTTCATTTATATGACTTTCTAGACCAGGCAAAGGTAACAGAATCAGAAATTATCTGGAGACAGGTGGAGGTAGAAATGACTGCAAATATGAATAAGCTTTTGGGGATGATGAAAATATACATCTTAATTTTACCAATAGTTATATACATTTGTTGAAACTCATCAACCCGTACACTTAAAATGGGTGCATTTTATTGTATGTGGATTATACCCCAATAAGATTGATTTTTTTAAAAAAAATCAAGAACCAGGTGTGGTAGCTCATGCCTGCAATCCCAGCACTTTGGGAGGCCGAGGCAGGTGGATTACTTGAGGTCAGGAGTTTGAGACCAGCCTGACCAACGTGATGAAACCGTCTCTACTAAAAATACAAACTTAGCCAGGCATGATGGCAGGCACCTGTAATCCCAGCTACTTGGGAGGCTGAGGCAGGAGAACCGCTTGAACCCAGGAGGCGGAGGTTGAAGTGAGCCGAGATTGCTCCATTGCACTCCAGCCTGGGCAACAAGAGCAAAACTCCATCTCAAAAAATAAATTAATTAAAATAAAATAAAAAATAAAGAAAGATGACTTGTTCTACCAAATAGTTAAACATAATACAAAAACACAGTAATTAAAATAATGTGATATGGTTCAAGTAATTCAGACCTATGGATGTAACAGACCCTAATAAATTTCTGTCTACCTTGTAACCAAGGAAATTTATAACATTTGCAGTACTGCTACAAATACTGAATTATATAAAAGCATTAAACCCTAGGCCTTTTGAATTCATTATATTTTCAGGGTTTCCCTATCAAGTGAATAATCAAAATATCTAGTGTTCATATTGATATTGATACAGATTCCTGTACTACTGATTCCATTGTGAAGTAATAACCTAAAGGACACATTGGGCTGCTTAATCAATCTTCATTAAGACATCTGTAAAATGTCCAAAGATTAAGCAGAGATTTGTAAAGAACCCTATATATTTAGTCTGAAACTCAAAAGCTTATTCTAGACTCTCCTGTTTCCCATTACCAATAATTTTTTGCAGTACATTATAAACTTGTTCAAAATTCTTCAACCTACAAAATCTAAACAGTATTTTCTTGTATGTATTTCGACCCAACTTCACTTACTGTCAACATTCTGCATGGTACTCATTCACATTTGAGATATATGACATTTATGAAAAAGATAAATTAAAACAATAAATTTATTAATCAATTTTCCTAGTTATCATACTTACAGCCTCAGTACCACAATCACAGATTTCATTTCCCTCCAATCTGCCATTGCCACAGACTGGTTTCGGAGATTTTTTTTGCATTTGTGGCTTATTCTGAAGACATTTGACACCCACATTTGAAATGAAATTTTGAAAGCTCCTCAAACTGCAACTGCTAAAAGTCTTCACACCATTGGATTGCCTAAAGATGAATCCATATAATGTCATTGGCAGTATACTTCTGGAAACACATTTCTATATGATATAAATTAATTTCAAAATGTTAAATTCAATTGGCTGTTACAAATGTTTATAATAAGTGCTTAGAGGCCAAAATCATACTTGAGGATGTCATGTGATTTTATTCACTGGAATACATGTTCTTAATAAAACAAAATTAAGTACAATTCAATAGCAACACACACACACACACAGTAATCCAATTTTAAAATAGGCAAAGGATTTGAGCAGATATTATTCCAAATAAAAATCAGCACCCAGATTTGGACAGACATCACTTCAAATAAAAATTAGCACCCAATTAACCACAAAATTTTATTAAACAAATGATAATGTGCTTAGTCCTGAAGATCTCAGAAAAAAAGTGTATATTTATCAAAATTATATATTATTATGTCCATATACCAATAATAAAGAGAATTCATTGACTAGTTCCATAGGAAGTCCATTTTTACTATATTTGTATGTAGTAAACATCTGTAAGGCAAGGAAGAAACTGAGATTTATTGAGTACCTATTATGTGCCAGATTTCATTACTGATTTGGCTGTGCACATTGTCTTGAAAGTGACGATTTAAGATATCAGATGTGGAAGAGGAGGCAGAGTAAGAGCACGGGATAGAACCCTCCAGTGATCATCCCTCTGTAGGGACACTGAAGTGAACAATTATCCATGCAAGAAAACACCTTCACAAGAGCTAAAAGAATGAGGTAAAAGATCACAGTAACTGGTTTTGGCATAACAACAAGAAAAGACACATTGAAGAGCATAGGAATGACAGTTTTGCGTTGCCTACACCATCCCGTCCCCAATCTGAAGCAATGCACATAGAGAGTGAATTTGTCTTTTTAGGAGAGGGAGAAGGAAGTGTGCATGGGACTTTGCCTGAAAAGCCTGTACCAGCCCCACTACCGTAAAACACAGCACCAGGCTGAACCCCATGGTCCCTGATTCCAGGCTGGTGCCCACAGATTTCTAGACCTGCCCCAGCTAAGAAGAAAATTCATCACCCCAGCAGGATAGAGCCAAGCCTTGGCCAGCTTCACCACTGGCTGATGAAAGAAGCTTTAGGCCATGAATAAATATCAGCAGCAGTCAGGTAATAGTGACTGTGGGTGTTAGGTGAGCAAACCCTAACCATTACTGTGCTGGTCTATGAGGCCATGGGCTTCAGGTGTAAGCCAGTATGCTGCCAGTTGCAGTGGCCATGAAAGTGCATGTATCACCTCTCCAGCAACTCCAGACAGTGCAGTATAGAGAGCAACTCCTTCTGCTAGGGGAAGAAAAAGGAAGTGAGCAAGAGACTTTGGGCTTGGAAACCCACAGAACTGTCTCTGATATTCCCCAAGTCCATCAGGGTTGGATGCATAGGAATCTTCAAGAGAGCCACAGCGTAATTGAGCTTAAGGTGCTATCTAGTGCTGAAATGGCAGCAGTGACCATGGTCTTAACTCATCAGTCAGTACTCTTGGAATTTCTGTAAGGTCCTCTGAAGAAGGACCAATACAAACAAGGCCAGACTGTAAAGATGAGAAGAAATACTTAATTATTTAATGCCCAGATACATCCACAAGCATTAATAACATTCAGGAAAATATGATCCCATCAAGTATAATAAATAAGGCACCAGTAACCAAACCTGGAGAAATATGTGTAAACTCTTACACAGAGAATGCAAAATAGATGTTTTGAGGAAGCTCAAATAACATCAAGAAAACACAGAGAAACAATTCAGAAAATTAATTATCAGAGATACTTAACAAAGAGATTGAAATAAGTTTAAAAATCAAGCAGAATTCCTGGAGCAATAATAGATAAACTGAAAAATGTATTAGAGGGTCTCGAAAGCAGAAGTGATCAAACAAAAGGAAGAATTCACGAGCACAAACACAGGCTATTTGAAAATATGTCAAGAAGAAAAAAGAAAAAGTGAATTTAAAAGAACAAATAACACTTATTGGATCAGTGAGATACCAAATGTACAAGTCATTGACCTTCAAAGGGAGTAGAGGAAGAGAAAGGGGGTAGAAAAGTTATTTAAAAGAACAAAGAACAGTTATTGGATCAGTGAGATAGCAAATGTAAGAGTCATTGACCTTCAAAGGGAGTAGAGGAAGAGAAAGGGGGTAGAAAGGTTATTCAAATAAATAATAATGGAAAATTGTCCAAACCTCAATATAAATATCCAGTTACAAGAAGGTCAAAGATCACCAAGAAGAGTCAACCGAAATAAAACTACCTCAACGCATATAATAATCAAACTCTCATAGGTCAAAGACAATAGAGACTCCTAAAAGCAGTAAGAGAAAAGAAGCAAATAACATATGAAGGAGTGCCAGTACATCTGGCAGCAGAATTCTCTATGGAAACCTTAAAGACCAGGAAGGACTGGAATGACATATTCCAAGTCCTGAAGGAAAAAACTTTCAACCAAGAATATTGTACCCAGGAAAACTATCCTTAAAAATGAAGAAGTGATTCAAAACTCTTAGACCAATGAAAGTGGAGGGAATTCATCACCACCAAACCATAAGAAATGCTAAAAGAAGTTTTTCAGTCTGACAGAAAAGAATGCTAATGTGCAACAAGAACACATGTGAAGGTATAAAAGTAAACAAACAAATTTAGAACACTCTAACACTGTAACTATGGTGTGTAAACCATTCATATCTTTGGTATAAAGATTAAAAGCCAAAGATATTGAAAACAATAACTACAACAATTTTTAAGAGATAGGTAATATAAAAATATGTGAATTTAGAGATCAAAAAGTCAAAATTGGGGAGAAGGGAGTTAAAGTGTAGAGTTTTTCAGGTTGTGTTTGTTTCATTCTTTGTGATCAAAAAGTGGGTATTATCAAAAAGACAAAAAATTACACACTATAAAAGATGAGGATAAAGGCAATATCTTGAACATTCTTAGTGAAAATGTAAATTACACAACCATTATGAAAAACAATATGAATCTTCCTCAAAAAACTAAAAATAGGACTACTATATGATCTAGCAATCCACAACTGGGTATATATCTGTAAAAAAAAATCAGAATGTCACAGAGATATTTGCACTCCCATGTTTACTGCAGCACTATTCACAATAGCCAAGACATGAAATTAATCTAAATGCCCATCTACAGATAAACTGATTTTTAAAATGTGGTATATATATAAATGGAATATTATTCCACCATAAAAAGGAATGCAATCTTATCATTTCTGACAATATAAATGGAGCAGGAGGACATTATGTTAAGTGAAATAAGCCAGACACAGAGACAAACACCTCATGATCACACTCACGTGTGAAATTTTTAAAAAGTTGATTTCATAAAAAAAGTTGATTTCATAAAAATAGAGAGTAGAATAGTGGTTACCAGAGGCTGGTGAGGGAAAGAGAGAGAGGAAGACTGGGAGAGGTTGGTTAATGTGTAAAAGTTAGTTAAACAGGAAGAATAAGTTCTGGTATTTTATTACACAGTAGGGTGACTATACCAAATGACAATGTAGTGCATATTCCAAGACAGCTAGAAGAGCAGATTTTGAATGTTATTGTCATGCTGAAATGATAAATGTTTATAGTGATGGATATGGGAATTACCCTAATTTCATCATTATACAATATATGCATATGTTGAAACATTACACTGTACCCCCATATACACGTAAAAATTTTGGTCCATTATAAATTTTTAAAATGTATGAATAAAAAAAGACATGAGTTGTCACTTTTAAAAAGTATATATAAATCAAATTATCAAAATGATATATCAGGAATAGGAGGGGGCTTCAAAATGGCTGAGTAGGGGAGCCTGGCACTTTTCTCATGCACAAAAAAGACCAAAAGAGCAAGTAAATAACCAGGCATTAAATAGAGGTTCTAAGAGCAAGCACTGGAATTCATTGGAGAAGTGACAAAAAAAACTTCTGAGATGTAGAAAGACAGAGGAGCAGAGAAGCCAGCCTGGCCATAATAAGCTCAAATCCAGAAGCAAATCCTCACTGCAAGAAAAGGTAAACAAGATCCCCAGCCATCCACATTCCTATTGTGGACAGCTACAGTCCTAGCGGTGGGACAGTGCCTCAGTCCACACAGGCTCTGAGATTAGTATAGGCAGGTGCTTCGAGTCCACAAGTTGGTATTGTTCCACAGACGGTGTTTGTGCTGGATCCCAAACACCCCCATCCCCCACCCACCAAGACCCAAGCTGACACAGCACTATACTATTTTGAGAGCCCAGCCCCACCAAACCACCAGATTCAGGTTCAGATCCTGAACTGAATCCCAACAGTTCCAGCATCTCCACATCCCTATCATCCCATTGACATACCCCCACATCCACCCAGAGGGCTGCAGTGTCACAAAACAGGATTGACCCAGGAATGTAGTTGTGTCTCCAGCACTCTAGCTGATTCAGTGTCTATAGCCCAGGAAATGAGTGGTGCAGTGCACCAAGAAGGTGACCTCAAGGATGAAGGGAACCAAACAAATGCTCCCCAGAGCTTGAAAGCTTCCTACCCAGGTCTGCTGCAACTGACAGCAACCCAGAACCCTCCAATGTCAAGGTCACTGTGTACCTGCATCTACCTTCAGAGGGACTTAGGACTGGCCTGATAACATGCTGTCCTGGGGCCTGAGGACAAGCTTGCCCCACCTGCTGACTTCAGTGCCCATGCAGACCATCTGGAAACCTGAGAACAGGCCCAGTCTACCAACTGCCACCACTGCTGGCACCTGAGCATGTCACTTGGATGCCAGAAGAACAATCCACTCAAAACCACCATCACTGGTGCCTTTCTATGCCACCTGAAGGCTCCAGCAAGCCCTGCCTACTACCACCACCACGGGTGCTGAAGGACCAATAAACCTGGCATCCTTGTCCTTAGCAGAACCTCACCACAGCCTCCACTAACAAACACAGACCAAGCTACTGGGGAACTCATAAACACCACTGATGCTGCTAACAGACAAAGAAATCCTATGGAGACTACAATTCTGTGCTCACCAATAAATAAGGCCAAAATATCCTATCCAACTAATACTATAAATACATCTACAGGGAAAAGTATTTCCCCATGAAAGTCAACTCATTAAATTGTAAGAAGCAACTGATACACCAGATGTGCCAATATTAATGTAAAGACACAAAAATATGAATGAAACAAGAAAGAAAAAATATTCCTCTAAAGGAATACAAAAATTATGCAGTAACAGAGCCAAAACAAAAAGAAATCTATGAAACGTCTGAAAAAGAATTCAAAATAATGATAGTAAAGAAACTTAGTGAGACAAAACAGAGCACAGATAAATAATACAAAGAAATCAGGAAATATAATTTTAAGGAGGTTCCAAGATGGCAGCATAGGAACAGCTCCAGTCTACAGCTCACAGCCTGAGCAACGCAGAAGATGGGTGATTTCTGCATTTCAAACTGAGGTTCCAGGTTCATCTCACTGGGGCTTGTCGGACAGTTGGTGCAGGACAGTGGGTGCAGCGCACCAAGTGTGAGGCGAAGCAGGGCAAGGTACCACCTCACCTAGGAAGTGCAAGGGGTCACGGAATTCCCTTTCCTAACCAAGCGAAGCTGTGACAGATGGCACCTGGAAAATCAGGTCACTCCCACCCTAATACTGTGCTTTTCCAATGGTCTTAGCAAACGGCAGGAGATTATATCCCACGCCTGGCTCAGAGGGTCCCACGCCCACGGAGCCTCACTCATTGCTAGCACAGCAGTCTGAGATGGAACTGCAAGGTGGCAGCGAGGCTGGGGGAGGGGCGCCTGCCATTGCCGAGGCTTGAGTAGGTAAACAAAGCTGCCTGGAAGCTCAAACTGGGTGGAGCCCACCGCAGCTCAAGGAGGCCTGCCTGCCTCTGTAGACTCCACCTCTGGGAGCAGCACATAGTCAAACAAAAGGCAGCAGAAACCTCTGCAGACTTAAATGTCCCTGTCTGACAGCTTTGGAGAGAGTAGTAGTTCTCCCAGCATGGAGTTTGAGATCGGAGAACAGACAGACTGCCTCCTCAAGTGGGTCCCTGACCCCCGAGTAGCCTAACTGGGAGGCACCCCTGAGTAGGGGCAGACTGACACCTCACAGGGCCAAGTACCCCTCTGAGACAAAACTTCCAGAGGAATGATCAGGCAGCAACATTTGCTGTGCAGCAATATTCGCTGTTCTACAGCTTCCGCTGCTGATACCCAGGCAAACAGGGTCTGGAGTGGACCTCCAGCAAACTCCAACAGACCTGCAGTGAGGGTCCTGACTGCTAGAAGGAAAACTAACATACAGAAAGCACATTCACACCAAAACCCCATCTGTACGTCACCATTATCAAAGACCAAAGGTAGACAAAACCACAAAGATGGGGATAAAACAGAGCAGAAAAGCTGAAAATTCTAAAAATCAGAGTGCCTCTACCCCTCCAAAGGAACACAGCTCCTCGCCAGCAATGGAACAAAGCTGTATGGAGAATGACTTTGATGAGTTGAGAGAAGGCTTCAGATGATCAAACTTCCCCAAGCTAAAGGAGGAAGTTTGAACCTATCACAAAGAAGCTAAAAAGCTTGAAAAAATATTAGACGAATGGCTAACTAGAATAACCAGTGTAGAGAAGTCCTTAAATGACCTGATGGAGCTGAAAACCATGGCACGAGAACTACGTGACAAATGCACAAGCTTCAGTAGCTGATTCGATCAACTGGAAGAAAGAGTATCAGTGATTGAAGATCAAATGAATGAAATGAAGCGAGAAAGAAGTTTAGAGAAAAAACAGTGAAAAGAAATGAACAAAGTCTCCAAGAAATATGGGACTATGTGAAAAGACCAAATCTACGTCTGATTGGTGTACCTGAAAGTGATGGTGAGAATGGAACCAAGTTGGAAAACACTGTGCAGGATATTATCCAGGAGAACTTCCCCAATCTAGCAAGGCAGGCCAACATTCAAATTCAGGAAATACAGAGAATGCCACACAGATACTCCTTGAGAACAGCAACTCCAAGACACATAATTGTCAGATTCACCAAAGTTGAAATGAAGGAAAAAATGTTAAGGGCAGCCAGAGAGACGGGTCCGGTTACCCACAAAGGGAAGCCCATCAGACTAACAGCGGATCTCTCAGCAGAAACTCTACAAGCCAGAAGAGAGTGGGGGCCAATATTCAACATTCTTAAAGAAAAGAATTTTCAACCCAGAATTTCATATCCAGCCAAACTAAGCTTCATAAGTGAAGGAGAAATAAAATCCTTTACAGACAAGCAAATGCTGAGAGATTTTGTCACCACCAGGCCTGCCTTATAAGAGCTCCTAAAGGAAGCACTAAACATGGAAAGGAACAATCAGTACCAGCCACTGCAAAAACATGACAAATTGTAAAGACCATCAATGCTAGGAAGAAACCGCATCAACTAACGAGCAAAATAACCAGCTAACATCATAATGACAGGATCAAATTCACACATAACAATATTAACCTTAATTGTAAATGGGCTAAATGCTCCAATTAAAAGACACAGACTGGCAAATTGGATAAAGAGTCAAGACCCATCAGTGTGCTGTATTCAGGAGACCCATCTCCCATGCAGAGACACACATAGGCTCAAAATAAAGGGATGGAGGACGATCTACCAAGCAAATGGAAAACAAAAAAAGGCAGGGGTTGCGATCCTAGTCTCTGATAAACAGACTTTAAACCAACAAAGATCAAAAGAGACAAAGAAGGCCATTACATAATGGTAAAGGGATCAATTCAACAAGAAGAGCTAACTATCCTAAATATATATGCACCCAATACAGGAGCACCCAGATTCATAAAGCAAGTCCTTAGAGACCTACAAAGAGACTTAGACTCCCACACAATAATAATGGGAGACTTTAACACCCCATTGTCAACATTAGACAGATCAATGAGACAGAAAGTTAACAAGGATATCCAGGACTTGAACTCAGCCCTGGACCAAGTAGACCTAATAGACATCTACAGAACTCTCCACCCCAAATCAACAGAATATACATGCTTCTCAGCACCACATCACACTTATCCCAAAATTGACCACATAGTTGGAAGTAAAGCACTCCTCAGCAAATGTAAAAGAATAGAAATTATAACAAACTGTCTCTCAGACTACAGTGCAATCAAACTAGAACTCAGGATTAAGAAACTCACTCAAAACCACCCAACTACATGGAAACTGAACAACCTGCTCCTGAATGACTACTGGGTACATAACAAAATGAAGGCAGAAATAAAGATGTTCTTTGAAACCAACAAAAACAAAGACACAACATACCAGAATCTCTGGGACACATTCAAAGCAGTGTGTAGAGGGAAATTTATAGCACTAAATGCCCACAAGAGAAAGCAGGAAAGATCTAAAACTGACACCCTAACATCACAATTAAAAGAACTAGAGAAGCAAGAGCAAACACATTCAAAAGCTAGCAGAAGGCAAGAATGAAATAAGATCAGAGCAGAACTGAAGGAGATAGAGATACAAAAGAAAACCCTTCAAAAAAATCAATGAATCCAGGAGCTGGTTTTTTGAAAAGATCAACAAAATTGATAGACTGCTAGCAAGACTAACAAAGAAGAAAAGAGAGAAGAATCAAATAGACGCAATAAAAAATGATAAAGGGGATATCACCACCGATCCCACAGAAATACAAACTAACATCAGAGAATACTATAAACACCTCTACGCAAATAAACTAGAAAATCTAGAAGAAACAGATAAATTCCTGGACACATACACCCTCCCAAGACTAAGCCAGGAAGAAGTTGAATCTCTGAATAGACCAATAACAGGTTCTGAAATTGAGGCAATAACTAAGAGCCTACCCACCAAAAAAAGTCCAGGACCAGATGGATTCACAGCCAAATTCTACCAGAGGTACAAGAAAAAGCTGGTATCCTTCCTTCTGAAACTATTCCCATCAATAGAAAAAGAGGGTATCCTCCCTAACTCATTTTATGAGGCCAGCATCGTCCTGATACCAAAGCCTGGCAGAGATACAACAAAAAAAGAGAATTTTAAACCAATATCCCTGATGAACATCAATGCAAAAATCCTCAATAAAATACTGGCAAACCAAATCCAGCAGCACATCAAAAAGCTTATCCACCATGATCAAGTGGGCTTCATCCCTGGGATGCAAGGCTGGTTCATCAATGCAAATCAATAAATGTAATCCAGCATATAAACAGAACCAAAGACAAAAACCACATGGTTATCTCAATAGATGCAGAAAAGGCCTTTGATAAAATTCAACAGCCCTTCATGCTAAAAACTCTCAATAAATTAAGTATTGATAGGATGTATCTCAAAATAATAAGAGCTATTTATGACAAACCCACAGCCAATATCATACTGAATGGGCAAAAACTGGAAGCATTCTCTTTGAAAACTGCCACAAGACAGGGATGCCCTCTCTTACCACTCGTATTCAACATACTGTTGGAAGTTCTGGCCAGGGCAATCAGGCAGGAGAAAGAAATAAAGGGTATTCAATTAGGAAAAGAGGAAGTCAAATTGTCCCTGTTTGCAGATGACGTGATTGTATATCTAGAAAACCCCAACGTCTCAGCCCAAAATCTCCTTAAGCGGATAAGCAACTTCAGCAAAGTCTCAGGATACAAAATCAATGTGCAAAAATCACAAGCATTCCTATATACCAATGATAGACAAACAGAGAGCCAAATCATGAGTGAACTCCCATTCACAATTGCTTCAAAGAGAATAAAATGCCTAGGAATCCAACTTACAGGGGATGTGAACTACATCCTCTTCAAGGAGAACTACAAACCACTGCTCAACGAACTAAAAGAGGACACAAACAAATGGAAGAACATTCCATGCTCATGGGTAGGAAGAATCAATATTGTGAAAATGGCCATACTGCCCAAGGTAATTTATACATTCAATGCCATCTCCATCAAGCTACCAATGACTTTCTTCACAGAAATGGAAAAAACTACTTTAAAGTTCATATGGAACCAAAAAAGAGCCCTCATTGCCAAGTCAATCTTAAGCCAAAAGAACAAAGCTGGAGGCATCACGCTACCTGACTTCAAACTATATTACAAGGCTACAGTAACCAAAACAGCATGATACTGGTACCAAAACAGAGATATAGACCAATGGAACAGAACAGAGCCTTCAGAAATAATACCACACATCTATAACCATCTGATCTTGGAAAAACCGGACAAAAACAAGAAATGGGGAAACGATTCCCTATTTAATAAATGGTGCTGGGAAAACTGGCTAGCCATATGTAGAAAGCTGAAACTGGATCCCTTCCTTACACCTTATACAAAAATTAATTCAAGATGGATTAAAGACTGAAATGTTAGACCTAAAACCATAAAAACCCTAGAAGAAAACCTAGGCAATACCATTCAGGACATAGGCATGTGCAAGGACTTCATGTCTAAAACACCAAAAGCAATGGCAACAAAAGCCAAAATTGACAAATGGGATCTAATTAAACTAAAGAGCTTCTGCACAACAAAAGAAACTACCATCAGAGTGAAGAGGCAACCTACAGAATGGGAGAAAATTTTTGCAATCTACTCATCTGACAAAGGGCTAATATCCAGAATCTACAAAGAACTCCAACAAATTTACAAGAAAGAAACAAACAACCCCATCAAAAAGTGGGCGAAGGAGATGAACAGACACTTCTTAAAAGAAGATATTTATGCGGCCAACAGACACATGAAAAAAATGCTCATCATCACTGGCTATCAGAGAAATGCAAATCAAAACCACAATGAGATACCATCTCACACCAGTTAGAATGGCAATCATTAAAAAGTCAGGAAATAACAGGTGCTGGAGAGGATGTGGAGAAATAGGAACATTTTTACACTGTTGGTGGGACTGTAAACTAGTTCAACCATTGTGGAAGACAGTGTGGCAATTCCTCAAGGACCTAGAACTAGAAATACCATTTGACCCAGCCATCCCATTACTGGGTATATACCCAAAGGATTATAAATCATGCTGCTATAAAGACACATGCACACATATGTTTATTGCAGCACTATTCACAATAGCAAAGACTTGGAACCAACCCAAATGTCCATCAGTGATAGAGTGGATTAAGAAAATGTGGCACATATACACCATGGAATACTATGCAGCCATAAAAAATGATGAGTTCATGTCCTTTGTAGGGACATGGATGAAGCTGGAAACCATCATTCTCAGCAAACTATCGCAAGGACAAAAAACCAAACACCGCATGTTCTCACTCATAGGTGGGAATTGAACAGTGAGAACACTTGGACACAGGAAGGGGACCATCACACACCGGTGCCTGTTGTGGGGTGGGGGGTGGTGGGGGGGATAGCATTAGGAGATATACCTAATGTAAATGATGAGTTAATGGGTGCAGCACACCAACATGGCACATGTATACATATGTAACAAACCTGCACATTGTTCACATGTACCCTAGAACTTAAGGTATAATTTTAAAAAGTTAAAAAAAAAGAAATCAGGAAAACAATTCATAATTTCAATGAGAAATTTAACAAAGAGATAGATATCATAAAAAAGAATCAAACAGAAACCTTGAAAGTGATTATTTCAATAAATAAAATTAAAAATACAAATGAGAGTTTCCATAGTAGACCAGATTAATCAGAAGAAAGAATTTCTGAACTTGAAGACAGAGCTTTTTAAATGACCTGATCAGACAAATTATATACATATATGACAGAAAGCCTACATGACACATGAAACAGCATACAGGAACAAAATATTCACATTTTGGGACTAGAAGGAGAAGAGACGTAAAGGCATAGATGACTTATGTAAGGAATAATAGCTGAAACTCTCCAAAGTTTTGCAAGAGATATAGACATCAAGATACAGGTAACTAAAGATCTTGAAATATGTTCAACCCAAAAAGGTCTTGTTCAAGGCACGTATAGTCAAACTACCAAAATTCAAAAACAAAGAGAGAATTCTAAAAGCAGAAAGAGAAAAATGTCAAGTCATGTATAAAGGACTACCCATGAGAATAAATGTAGATTTCTCAGCAGAAACCTTATAGGCCAGGAGAGAATGAAAGTATATATTCAAAGTACTGCAAGAAAACAACTATCAGCCAAGAATATTATCCACAGCAAAGCTATCCTTCAAAAATGAAAGAGAAATAGAATGTCTTTTTCAGACAAGAAAAAAACAAAGAATTTGTCACCACTAGACTAGTCCTATAAGAAATGCTTAAGAGAATCCTAAACCAGGAAGTAAAAGGAGAATAGCTACCATCCTGAAAACACATACAAGTGTACAACTCACTGGTGGAATAGATGAGAAAAGAAAAGGAGAAGAGAAAAGAAAAGGAGAAGAGAAAAAAAAAATGTTAAACGCTATCACAACCCAAATTATCTAATGTAAAGGTATACAATAAAACAGGAAGAAAGGCTGAGCATGATGGCTCACGCCTGTAATCCCAGCACTTTGAAAGGCCAAGGTGGGTGGATCACCTGAGGTCAGGAGTTCGAGACCAGCATAGCCAACATGGTGAAACCCCATCTCCACTAACAACACAAAAGTTAGCCAGGCATGGTGGTGCACACCTGTAGTCCCAGCTACTTGAGGGGCTGAGGCAGGAGAATCGTTTGAACCCGGGAGGCAGAGGTTGCAGTGAGCCAAGATCACACCACTTCACTCCAGCCTGAGTGACAAAGTGAGACCCTGCCTAAAAGAAAAAAAGAGGAAGAATGAAAGAAAGAATATATCAATCAGAAAACAATTGACAAATGACAGGAGTAAGTCCTAATTTATTAATAACAATATCAAATGTAAATGGCTTAAATTTCTAAATTAAAAAATATAGACTGGCTGAAAGGATTTAAAAATATATATGCTGCCTATAAAAACTCACATTGTAAAGACATGTAGACCAAAAGTGAAGGAATAGGAAAAAAAATTCTGCACAAACAGAAACCAAAAGCATGAAAGAGTAGCTATACTTATGTCAGAAAAAAAATAGATTATAGGATAAAACACATAAAAAAAACCAAGTCATTATATAATGATAAAGAGAACAAGTCAGCAAGAGTACATAAAAATTATAAATATATATGCACCAAACAATGGAGCACCCAGATATATAAAACAAATATTATTAGAAGTAAACAGAGAAATAGACCCCAATACAATAATAGTTGTTGACTCCAACACCCCTCTTGAAGCATTGGACAGATCATCTAGGCAGAACATCAACAAAGAAACATCAGATTTAATCTGCAGCACTATCAAGCAAATAAACCTAACAGATATATATGGAAGATTTCATCTAATAGCTGCAGTCTAAACATTCTTTTCATTAGTACATGGAACATTCTCCAGCATAGTCCACATGTTAGGCCACAAAAGAAGTCTCAATTAATTTTAAAACACTGAATACATATTAAGTACCTTCTTAGACCATATGAAATAAAAGTAAAAATCAATAATAATAGGAATTTTGAAAACTGTACAAATACATGAAAGGTAAACGAATGCTCCTGAATAACCATTGGGTCAATGAATAAATTAAGAAGGAAACAACAAATTTCTTGAAACAAATGAAAATGAAAACAAAATAATATCAAAACTAGTGACATACACAAAAGAAGTACTAAGACAGAATTTTATGATAATAAATGTCATCAAAAAAGTAGAAATATTTCAAATAACCTAATGATGTACTTCAGGAACTAGAAAAGCAAGAAAAAACCAAACCCAAAATTAGTAGAAAAAAATAAAGACCAGAGCAGAAATAAATGAAATAGAACCTAAAAAATAAAAAGAACTAAAGAAGCAAAAATTAATTTTTGGAAAACGTAAACAAAATTGATACACAGATATCTAGACTAAACAAGAAAAAATGAGTAAAGACCCAATAAATTAAATAATGATAACGAGACATTACAACAGATACCACAAAAATACAAAAAATCATTAGAATCTATTGTGAACAACTCTATGCTGACAAATCGGAAAACCTAGAGGAAACAGATAAATTCCTGGACACATACAACCTGCCAAGATTGAACAAGGAAGAAATAGAAAACCTGAACAATCTAATAACAAGTAATGAGACTGAATCAATAATCAAAAGTCTCCCAACAAAGAAAGCCCATAACCACATGACTTTACTGCTAAATTCTATCAAACATATAAGGAAGAACTAACACCAGTTTTTCTCAAACTATTCCAAAACATCAAAGAAAAGGAAATTCTCACTAACTCAGTCTTGAGGGAGGCCAGCATTACCCTGATAGGAAAATCAGACAAGGACACAACAAAAAAAAAGAAAACTACAGGCCAATATCCCCAATGAACATAGACACAAAAATTCTCAACAACGTATTAGTAAACCTAATCCAACAACACATCAAGGAGATATATTATATAATGATCAAGTATGATTTATACCAAGATTGCAAGGATGGTTTAACATATATGAATTAGTAAATATGATACATCACATCAACAGAATGAAGGACAAAAACCGCAAAATCATTTCAATAGCCACAGAAAATGCATTTGACAAATTTCAACATGGCTTCATGATAAATACTATCAATAAGTTAGATATAGAAAAAATGTACCTCAGCATAATAGGGCCATATATAACAAACCCACAGCTAACACCCTACTGGACAGGAAAAAGCTTAAAGCCTTTCTCCCAATAACTGGCACAAGACAAGAATACCACTTTCACCACTTTTAACCAACATAGTACTGAAAATCCTAGCCAGAGGAATTAGAGAAGAGAAATAAAAGGCATCCAAACTGGAAATGTAGAAGTCAAATTTTCCCTCCTTGTAGGTGACATGCTCTTATATATAGAAAAATCAAAGATTCCACCAAAAAACTCTAAAAACTGATCAACAAATTCAGTAAAATTGCAGGATTCAAAATCAGCATACAAAAATTAGTAGCCTCTCTATTCTCCAGAAACAAACTAGCTGAATAATAAATCAAGAAAGCAATCTCATTTACAATAGCCATGAAAAATATAAAATACCTAGAAATAAACTGAACCAAGGAGGTAAAAGACTTCTACACAAAAACTACGAAACAGAGATATAAAAAAATTAAAGAGAACAAAAACATATGGAAAAACATCCACCCATGTGGAGTAGAGAAATTAATACTGTTATCATGATCATACCACCCAAAGCGATCTACAGATCCAACAAAATCCATAACAAAATACCAATAATATTCTTCACATAAGTAGAAAAAACAATCCTAAAATTAATATGGAACCACAAAAGATCCTTCAAAATATACTGTAAGTCTGTAGGAATAAATTCAGAACAGTATTGGTATAAAAACAGACAAACAGAGCAATGAAACAGAATAGAAAGCCAAGAAATAAACCCATCTATTTACAGCTAACTGATTTTCTTCATAGATACCAAGAACATATACGTGTGCTGGGAATAACTGGATATCCATATGCAGAAGAATGAAACTAGGGCCCTATCTCTAACCACATACAAAAATCAACTCAAAACGGATTAAGGACTTAAACATAAGGCCGGAAACTGTAAAACTGCTAGAAGAAAACAGAAATATTTCAGGACATTGTTCTAGGCAGATTTTATGGCTAAGACTTCAAAAGCACAGGCAACAAAAACAAAAATAGACTAATGGAACTCTATTAAACTAAAAAACTTACGTACAGCAAAAGAAACAATCAATGGAATGAAGAGACAATCTGTAGAATAAAAGAAAATATTTGCAAACTATTCATCCAATAGGTGGTTAATATCCAGAATATACAAGGATCTCAAAAACCTCAACGGCAAATAAAAAAATAATCGCATTTAAGGGGAGAGGTGGCAAGGTGGCCAATTAGACGCAGCCAGGAATAACATCTGCCACTGAGGGACTGGGACATTAGGAAGACTGGTGGGCTCCTAGCAGATCTTCAGAGAAGGCAATAAGAGCAGACAGAGGGAAGACACAGATGCTGGGCTGAAGGGGGAGGAAGCTGGGAACCTTACACAAGGCTACTATGCACTGAGACTTCTTCCTGGCCCCAAAACACTCCTGGGGAAAGGGTGAGTTTAACAGGCAAGAAGCAACCTGCTCTCACCACAGGCCCCTGGAATCCCAGCAGGAGGAGAGCCCCCAACCACCACAGATGCTTGAGTTGGCCAGGAGAGCTGCTTACAGAAGTGGCAGAGGCAGAACTCCAACCGGTGTAGAGCCCAGAGGTTTGGTGCAGGAGTGTCAGTAGTAGAGCATGACCAGCGTCACCCATCTGCCTAGGCTTAACTTCCTTCCGTACGAGACTTTAGCCCTAGGGGAACTGTCGTACCTGAAGTCTGCAAAGCAGTCTTGCCCATGAGATGGGGCCAGTCTGACCTGAGCACCCCTCTAACTGGTGGACTCTCCCACGGACCCAGCATGGCCATGACTGCTTGCAGCACAGCCTCAGTTGCCCAGGGAGGATACCTCCTAGGGACCTGCATCATAGCTCCTGCACTGGTGGACTGCATCTGACCAGCAGAGCAGCCCCCACAGACAAATATCAGCTTGCTTGTGCCCTCTCTTCACTGCAGCCTGTCTATGATGCTTTACCTATACACACTCACCCATGGCCACCACCTACAGTGCTTTGCTGGTGTGTGTGTCTGTGTGTGCAGGAGAACCTTGCCTCCCCTTCCCCGTCAGTTCAGGTGCACCCTGCCAAAACACTGCTGCCAGCATTGGTGTACCCCATACCATCCCTCTGCTGCACCACCATTGCCACTGGAGCATTGGAAGGCACAGAGCCCATGAGCCCCACCCTTGCACTGACACTGACATCAGCGTAAAACTAGGCATTAAAAACAGCAAACCCACCCCTTCACTGAGCAGCCACTGCTAACCACGCGAGTGTGCACAGAGGGCACACACTGTCCTGCACCCACCAGTGCCCCCATGCTAACACCACCACCAGCACAAATACATGAACAGTAGCTGTTGGGGGCTTCCCACCCCACCCTGAGCTATGCTGTCACCATCGCTGCTACAAACACTGGTATGGAAGCCAGCACCCCAGTACACACTAGCACCCTCCTGCAACTGACAAGCATGCACCCCACTGTGCCGCCACCGCCACTGCTGTTGGCACATGCAAATAAAGATGGATCCTGCTGCCACTGCCCTAGGAAGCACTTTGGCTGGCACCACCTATTGGAATGTTGTGGCCAGCAGTCTGG
Organism: Homo sapiens; assembly: GCF_000001405.40. NCBI lineage: Eukaryota > Metazoa > Chordata > Mammalia > Primates > Hominidae > Homo > Homo sapiens. The sequence continues at coordinate 39,193,888 of NC_000008.11, read as the reverse complement.
GAGCACCATGGCTCCTCCACAGAAGCAGGTTCCTAATCTCAAGGAGCCAGAGAACAAAGCTGGGGCATGATACTAGTCCCACAGAATTAAAGCATGCAGTCCAGGAATCCTGAGCCTAGCCTTGGCCCCCTAAAAATCTTCCAAAACAAAGCCAGTCGACTGAACCCACCTGATACCAAAATCAAACCCCCAAGGTCATCAAATATGATAAAAGAAAAAAAATTCAAAGGACAACCACATCACGGATTGAAGGAACACCAGCCCACAAAGATGAGAAAGAACCAGCGGAAGAACTCGGACAACTCAAAAAGCCAGAATGTCTTCTTTCCTCCAAACACCAAACTAGTACTCCAGCAAGGGTTATTAACCAAGGTGAGATGGCTGAAATGACAGAAACAGAATTCAGAATATAGATAGGAATGAAGATCATTGAGATTCAGGAGAACATTGAACCCAATTCAAGTAACCTAAGAATCACAATAAAATGATACAGGAGCTGACAGACAAAATAGTCAGGATAGAAAAGAACATAACCAACCTGATAGAGCTGACAAACACAGTATAAAAATTTCATAATGCAATTGCAACTATTAAGAGCAGAACAGACCAAGCCAAGGAAAGAATCTTGGAGCTTGAAGACTGGCTTTCTGAAATAAGACAGTAACACAAGAATAAAGAAAAAAGAATATAAAGGAAAGAACAAAACCTCCAGGAAATATGGGATTATGTGAAGAAACTAAGTCTACAACTCATTGGCAACCCTGAAAGATATGGGGAGAATGGAAGCAACTTGGAAAACATATTTCAGGATATCATCCTAGCTAGAGAGGCCAACATTCAAATTCAAGAAATCCAGAGAACCTCCACAATATGCTTCACAAGAAAATTATTCCCAAGACACATAGTCATCACATTCTCCAAGGTCAAAGTGAAAGAAAAAATGTTAAAGGCAGCCAGATAGAAAGGACAGGTCACCTACAAAGGGAAGCCCATCAGACTAACAGTGGACCTCTCAGCAGAAACCCCACAAGCCAGAAGAGACCAGAGGCCAATATTCAATGTTCTTAAAGAAAAGAAATTCCAACCAAGAATTTCATATTTGGCCAAACTAAGCTTCATAAGCGAAGGTGAAAAAAAGATCCTTTTCAGACAAGCAAATGCTGAGGGCATTAGTTACTATCAGATGTGCCTTACAAGAGCTCCTGAGAGAAGCACTAAATGTGGAAAGAAAAGACCGTTACCAGCCACTACAAAAACACACTGAAATACACAGAGCAATGACACTATAAAGCAACCACACAAACAAGTCTGCAAAATAACCAGCTAACAACATGATGGCAGGATCAAATTCACACATATTTATATTGACCCTTAATGTAAACAGGCTACATGCCCCAATTAAAAGGCATGGAGTGGTAAGCTAGAAAAAGAAATAAGACCCAATGATATGCTGTCTTCAAGAAAACCATCTCACATACAATGACATCCATAGGCTCAAAATAAAAGAATGGAGAAAAATCTACCAAGCAAATGGAGAACAGAAAAAAGCAGGTGTTGCAGTCCTAATTTCAGGCAAACAGACTTTAAACCGACAAAGATAAAAAAAGACAAAGAAGGGCATTACATAATGGTAAAGGTTAGAAATGACAAAGGGGATGTTACACTGACCCCACAGAAATGCAAATAACCATCACAGACTACTACAAACACCTCTATGCACACAAGCTAGGAAATCTAGAAGAAATGAATAAATTCTGGGACACATACAATCTCCTAAGACTGAACTAGCAAGAAATTAAATCCCTGAACGGACCAAAAACAAGTTCTGGAATTGATTCAATAATAAATAGCCAACTAACCAAAAGAGAAAACCCAAGACCAGACAGAGTCACAGCCAAATTCTACCAGATGTACAAAGAAGACCGGGTACCATTCCTGCTGACACTCCTTCTTTACATCATATACATAAATCAACTCAAGATTGATTAAAGACTTAAATGTAAAGCCCAAAATGTAAAAAACCTGGAAGACAGCCTAGGTAATAATCATTCTGTACATAGGAACTGGAAACATTTCATGATGAAGACTCCAAAAGCAATTACAACAAAAACAAAAACTGACAAATGAGATCTGATTAAAACTAAAGAGCTTCTGCACAGCAAAAGAAACTATCAACAGAGTAAACAAACAGCTTACAGAACAGGAGAAAATATTTTCAAACTATGTATCTGATAAAGGTCTAATATCCAGCATCTATAAGGAACCTAAACAAATTTACAAGAAAAAAACAACCCTATTAAAAAGTGGGCAAAGGACATGAATAGGCACTTTTTAAAAGAAGACATACATGCAGCAAACAAGCATATGAAAAAAAGCTCCATACCACTGATTATTTGAGAAATGCACATCAAAACTACAATGAGATACCGTCTCATACCAATCAGAATGGTTATTATTAAAAAGTCAAACAATAACAGATGCTGGTGAGGTTGTGGAGAAAAAGGAACACTTATACACTGTTGGTGGGAGTGTAAATTAGTTCAACCATTGTAGAAAACGTGTGTTGATTCCTCAAAAAGCTAAAAATAGAACGACCATTCAACCCAGCAATGTGACTACTGGATATATACCCAAAGGAATATAAATCGTTCTATCATAAAGACTCACGCATGTATATGTTCATTGCAGCACTATTCACAACAGCAAAGACATGAAGTTAACCTAAATGCTCATCAGTGGTAGACTAGATGAAGACAATGTGGTACACGCACACCACGGAATACTATGTAACCATAAAAAGAATGAGATCATGTTTTTTGCAGGACGATGGATGGAGCTGGAGGCCATTATCTTTAGCAAACTAACACAGGAACAGAAAACTAAATACCACATATTTGGGAGCTAAAGGATGAGAACACATAGACACATACAGAGGAACAATAGACACTGGGTCCTACTTGAGGGTGGAAGGTGGGAGGAGGGAGAGGATCAGAAAAAAACTATTGGGTACTAGGCTTAGTACATGGGTGGCAAAATAATCTGTACAACAAACCCCCATGACTCAAGTGTACCCATATAACAAACTGCACAGGTACCCCTGAACCTAAAATAAAAATTTAAAAACGCACACACAAGTAAATCTCACTTAAAAGTGGGCAAAGGATTTGAACAGACATTTCTCAAAGGAAGACATACAAATTGCCAAACTGCTCTCTTTTCTGACACGAAAAAATATTCAGCATCAGTAATCATTGGAAATTTTTAAATCAACACCGCCATGAGATATCATCTTGCCCCAGTTAGAATGGTTATTATCAAACAACATAAAAACTAACAAATACTGGTGATGATGTTGAGAAAAGGCAACTCATACGCTGTCAGTGGGAATGTAAATTCATACAGCCATGATAGGAAGTATTGTGGAGGTTTCTCAAAAAACTAGAACTAGAACTACAATACAAACTAGCAATCTTTGTACTTGGTATTTATCCAAAGTAAAGGAAATCAGTATATTAGAAAGATACCTGAACCTTCATGTTTATTGCAGCACTATTCACAATAGCCAAAACATGGAATAAACCTAAGTGTGAATCAGTGGATGAATGGATAAAGAAAATGTGGTATACATCACAATGGAATACTATTCAGCCATAGAAAAGAAGTAAACTTTTTCATTTGTAACAACATGAATGGAACAGAAGGTCATTATGTTAAGTGAAAAAAGCCAGGCACAGAAAGGTAAATATCACAATTCTCAATCATGTGCAGGACTTTAAAAGTTTAACTCATAAAGATATAGAGTAGACACTTTCGGAGGCCAAGGCAGGCGGATCACGAGGTCAGGAGATCGAGACCATCCTGGCTAACATGGTGAAATCTCGTCTCTACTAAAAATACAAAAACAAAATTAGCCAGGCGTGGTGGCTGGCGCCTATAGTTCCAGCTGCTCGGGAGGCTGAGGCAGGAGAATGGCGTGCACCCAGGAGGCAGAGCTTGCAGTGAGCCGAAGCTTGCAGTGAGCCGAGATCGCGCCACCGCACTCCAGCCTGGGCAACAGAGCGAGACTCCATCTCAAAAAAAAAAGATATAGAGTAGAATAATGCTTTCCAGAGACTGGGAAGAGTGGGTAGGGGAATGAAGAGAGGTTGGTTAATAAGTAGACACAGTTAGATAGAAAGAATAAGTTCTAGTGTTCAATAGCAAAGTAGGGTGACTGTAATTAATGGTAATTTATTGTATATTTCAAAATAGCTAGAAGAGGAGATTTGATGTTTTCAACACAAATAAATGATAAATGTTTGAGAGGACGGATATTCTAAATACCCTGATTTGATCATCACACACGTATACAGATATGAAAATATCACGTGTACCAAATAAATATGTACAATTATTATATATCAATAGAATTTTTTCAATAATAATAATACATTTAGACACAGTTTTACCCCAAAAAAAATGATATAATGGAAGGAGCGCTTAAGTATAAAAGTGAATTTTGAACAAATACATATGAATATTCTCTTGCTACTTAGTTTAAGCGAATGCCAATATATTAAGTCTTCTACATGAAGGAAGTGTAGACTAGAGAATGAAACAAGGCTTTGAAATTAGATAAACTTGTTGACTAATACCAACCCTATGACTTATGAGGCCTTAGGCAAAGTGATTAAATTATCTAAGTCTTAGTATTTTCATCTGCATAATAGGGATAATGCCTATCTACCTCATAGATAGGTGAGGCTGTGAGAATTAAGTATAATTAAATAAGTGAAGTGTCTAATTCAATTATCTGGCTTTTAATAGGTACACAGTAAATCACTGCTAGTATTACTGGCACCTGCTAAAGTGTGTACACTAATTAACTGTATATCTAGTAAATGTAGATCACTTCAGCTACTTATACTCCAGGGCTTTTTAATAAACACATTAAATTGAAATATGTAACTAATTACATGCTTTCTTTGAGAACTAACATAATGTGTGAGATGTACTGTGGATATGCAAAAGAGTTACACGTGTGCTATTATTAGATTTTGTAAAAATTAATATAATACTCTACTCATACACCAGAGATTTGTAAGAAATTGGAGATTATATATGAAAGCATTTTAAATATAAAGTACCACATGAACTTAAAGGTTTACTAATACAGGCTCAAAACCCAAGTCTGCCACAAACTAGCCATCTGACCATAAGTAATTATCCTTTTTATAACTTAGCCTCTCATCTGTAAAAATGGGAATAATAGGAACTGCCCTGTAGAGATATTGTGAGAATCAAGTAAGTTAATATATGTAAAGTGCTTGGAATGGTCTCTAGAACATAGTAAGTACAATGTAAATATTTGTTCATCTTATTATCATTAATCTTAGGCTCTGGGTGACCTACACAAAACATTGTCCTAGCATACTTGAGAATAGCTGGCCATATGAACAATGAGCCCAAAATAATTATTCTTATGTTGTTGTGATAGATGGATGGATAGATAGATAGATAGACAGACAGACAGACAGATAGATAGACAGATTCCATTTATCCATCTATATGGACATATGCATATCAATTATATATATACATATATGGATATGTGTGATTATGTGTGTTTGTGTGTGTATATGTACATATATACACACATTCCTTTCAGAGCTAATTTGTAATATAATTGCATGTGTATACACATATAAAATATGTTGAGTTTGAGCTATTTTTGTGGGTATATATGTTGAGTTTGAGTTGTTTTTAGAACATAAGAGTTAACCCTTAAAAGGTGCTTAGGAGTACCCATAAAAATAATATGTTTTCAAAATTTAATGTCTTATTTTCACTTTTGACCTTTGACCTTTTAACCTATGATAGGTTACCCACGTCATAGGCCATATTTGCAAACAGAAAAACTACAAAATGCTAATGACACCTGCTGTAGTTCTTGTCTGATATATCATCTGGGGAAGATTAATAAGTTTAGAAATCACTGTAGCTAATCAATCACATACTTATAGAATTCTACAGTTTAGAAAACCCTTTCCTATTTCATTTTTTCTTTTATTCTTACATCACCCTGTGAAATAAAAGAATAGGCATAATTATTCCCATTTAAAGATGAGAAAAGTAAACTTAGGCAAAGTCAAGTAATTTATCCAAAGTCACACAAACATATATATATATATATTTTGGTCTCCAACTAGGACTTCTTACTCTTTTGGATGTTAGGGGTTTTTTTCATAAAATCAAACAATTCTAAAAGCAAAACCAAAAACACCTTGTCTAAAACAAAGGCCACTTATTATGTTCTGCTGACATATTTTTAAAGATCCTGGCCGGGCGCGGTGGCTCACGCCTGTAATCCCAGCACTTTGGGAGGCCGAGGCGGGCGGATCATGAGGTCAGGAGATCGAGACCATCCTGGCTAACATGGTGAAACCCGGTCTCTACTAAAAATACAAAAAATAAGCTGGGCACGGTGGCGGGTGCCTGCAGTCCCAGCTACTCGGGAGGCCGAGGCAGGAGAATGGTGTGAACCCGGGAGGCAGAGCTTGCAGTGAGCCGAGACAGCGCCACTGCAGTCTGGCCTGGGCGAAAGAGCGAGACTCCATCTCAAAAAAAATCCATACTAAGTGCTTTCATATTCTTTTGCTAATATATCTTTCAGATTGGATTTGTTATCTTTGATTATCTTTAGTTTATACTTTATACTACTTTTACATTTAAAATTACATGTTTATACTTGGTGAATTTGGTCCATTGATAGCTAATTTGTGCTTTAAGTAAATACTAAATTTTCACACTCTGAATATTTAAAATGAAATAAACATAAGCAATAAATAAATTGTTAAAACTTACACAACTTCTGGATTCATTATACAGGTGGATTCTGAACATTGACATTTCTTTGGGTCGTCATATGATATTCCCAGACTGAGTGCCAGCATCTGGGTGACAATAACTGCAAATGCCTCCAGAGTTATCTCCTTGGGGTACTATAATAACAACAAAGAAAATTCTAAGGAAAGATAATTCTCTAAAGGGTGGTAAAAATAATTTTCTAATTATGAATATTTTATTATTTTATCAAATGCTAAAGAATTAGGGAGATATGGATCCTTGAACAGGTGAGAAGCTGAAGCTCTTCTTATGAAGTTTTACTGAGATAGAAGCACATTGAGTGTATGCCAAGCTTTGTGATAATTTAACAACTGAACACCTAACATAATTCTTAGGTAGTTAGTATCAATATATAAAAAAATTGTTTTGATAAAGAAAATCTACATTACACTGTTGGTTATATGGACCATAATCTTCAACTCATCTAACTTTTTACAAGAGCTCTAATACTCATTTTGGATAATCCGTATAATCTCCCCTAACCCCCAGCTCATGAAATGGCCACTAACCAAATTACCCAATTTAAGTGCTCACCCTGCTGCCTACTAGGAACTTCATTGACACAGTGACTGGTATGAAAAGAAGCCACAGAAAACAGATCCTTCAGATTGCACTATTGGATTAGGCTGTTTATATATTTAACACAGATAACCTCCTTGCGAAAAAGAAATGGGGCATTGGTAATTCATGGTATGCAATGACATCATGATTTCTCAAATTATCACCAAAGCTGGCATAGGATATGATGCAGGAGGAGGAAGATAAAGACATTTAATTGCTATGGTGACAATAGGGATAATAAAGATTTTGGAGTCAATTAATTTCTTATAACAGCCCTAAAGGATGCACATAATGAAGAACAGAAAGGGAACGCTGCAAATGAGCAATGGAAAATGCAAACGGAATCAGAAAGCCTCTGCAGCAGCAATGAAGTAACTCATCTGTAGTCATGGATTGACATGGCTGAGGACCAAGCTGGAACCTACCAGATTTGGTGGGAAAAGCATTAGAATCTGAAACTTGGGAGGCGAACAATTGGAATAACATCTCTTTACTTCCCTTGCCAGCAGAGGAAGCCCTCTCCAAACAATGAGAGAGCCCCTGCATTTAAAAAAAAAAAAAGTTTTAATGACGATAGCTGGAACATTAGTCTCACTACCCCACATTGCCTCTAGGTCCAAATCAAGAATTAATTATCAACATGGTCTTGAAGGAGAAGTATCAATGTACTGCTCTGGAAGGGGATAATTTATACTTTGAAAGGGATTGATCAGACAGTATGAAATAGAAGGCTGGACTGGAACAAATTTATTGTAATTCATGACTCACCTGGGATTTTGTATTTAATGTGCCAAGTAAAAGCAGGAGTCATGTTAACTGAAATTAGACTTAATGGGAGCCTACTGTCAGTAAGGTCAAAATACTAGAGCTTTCCTGGCATACTGTATGGTGAAAAAGTGCTGAGTTTCAGGAATATGGTAATATTGAATGAATCTACTGTGTGAAACCTGTTGGGAAACTACCCTTGATCAAACATTCAAAGAGAGCTGGGAGGATATTTCCTTCAAGACACTTGGAAATGCTTTGCTGAAAGACACACCAATATCGTCAAAAATCTCTGCTGTTTTTTTGTTTGTTTGTTTGTTTTTTGTTTTTTTTTTGTAGACTGGAGATGACAGTAGCATAGTGCAATGGATCTTGGTTCTCTGAAACCAGTTGGAATTTTTTTTTTTTTTTTGAGATGGAGTTTCACTCGTGTTGCCTAGGTTGGAGTGCAATGGCATGATCTTGGCTCACTGCAACCTCCACCTCCTGGGTTCAAGTGATTCTCCTGCCTCAGCCTCTCGAATAGCTGAGATTACAGGCACCCACCACTATGCCTGGCTAATTTTTGTATTTTTAGTACAGACTGGGTTTTGCCATGTTGCCCAGGCTGGTCTCGAACTCCTGACCCTCAAGTGATCCACCTGCCTCAGCCTCCCAAAGTGCTGGGATTAAAGGCATGAGCCACCACGCCCAGCCCCAACAGGAACATTGGGACCAGGAGTGTTACAGGCCATGCGGCACAGCTTAACTGAGACAAGGTGGGTGCAATTACCACCATAGGCTAAAGGGGCTTACAGATTATCAAAGCTGCTTTGACCTACAGGGATTATGATAATTATTTCAGGGACCCTAAAAATAAAATATATGAGCATCATACTGAAGATTTTCTTGACATTCTAGGTCTGGTGGCAAAAACTTAACATGAGTTGCTGTGATGCAGATTCCCAGAACTAAACCAATTCACAACCTCAGGGATTCACAACTAAGTCAGGAACCTGCCATACAGATGAAACTGACTATTCCCCCAAGCCTTCCACAGAGGGACCTGTAGCTATTCACTAGAATAACTGTGCACACAGGAAAAGAAAATAGCTAGGACTTCTGGGGCTTATTGGTTTCTGAGTCAGAACTAAAGTTACCCTGAAAAACTGAATACCACCTTAGTCTACTGGTCTAAGTGCAGGCTTATGGAGGTCAGGTAGTCAGAAGAAACTTGTTTCAAGTTCATCTAACAGTAAATCCAAAAGAACTTCAGATATGTCCTACTATTATTTTCCAAATCCCAGAATTATGGCTGGAATAGAAATACTAGCACATATTGTCTGCTGACCAATGGAGTGAGACATGTTATGATAGGGAGGGCCAAGAGGAAGTGCCTGGAACTGCTCCCAAGATGATAAATCAAGAGTAATATGGCATCCCTTGGGGAATTGCATACTACTTATATTAGTGTTGCCATTAAAGTTTGAAATTGTAGGAGTAATGATACATGTCACATAATCATTTAACTTGTTTGTTTGCCTGGTGCAAAAGCAAAAGATAGATAATGACTGTAAATTATCATCTGAAACCGATCTGCCTTTCTAAACAGCTCGAGCACTCTACCTGCCATCAACAGAAGCCAGTGATAAGCCTCCACCATAGCACTATGCCCCTGTTGGATTAGCCAGTAAACTGGAGATAGGTTTATTACAGTGGACTGCTCATTCATTGAAGGAGGAACGATTTGTCCTCGTGTATCCCAGGTATGGATTTTCCTTGCCTGTCTGCAGTGATTCTGAAGCACGACATTCCTGCGCTTAAAGAGTGTCTTCTACATCACCACACACTATTGTTTCTGACCAGGGTCACATTTTGTGGCCTAGTATTTATAGAAATGGGTTCATTACTACAAGATTTACTTATCACATGTCCTGTAACACAGAAGCAACTGGCTTAATACAAGACTGTAATGGCTGGCTAAAGATTCAGTTGTGGCACCAGCTAAGGAACAACATCCAGAGAGGTAGGAAGGATGTCACTAATGATTTTTTAAATATCCTAAAGCAGCAGCCAAAACTTGGTGCCATTTCCCCCATAGCCATTAGGCTTGAGTCTGAGAACAGAGTGAGTGATGATGAGGAAAGATGGGATGGGAATTGCTAGATAAGTTGCTGCATACTAGCTGGCAGAGGCTGTGGTGACTTACTATACTATATTGGGAATATACTATATTGGGAATAGCCCCAGGCTGGTGCGGCACTGCATGCAGAGTTACTCTGGGCCTAAGGTTTCTGGTATGGTAGGGGTGAATTAGAGGCAGACATTTAACTTCCCCACCATTCTGGGACCATTTGTGAGAGGCTCACTCCTGTCTCATCACACAGGAACCACTGGGAGTGCTGGTAGGGCTAAGCCATCTGGGTCAGTTGGAGATGAAAAATAGTGGTGGGGCTCACAGTGATCAGCACATGATTCTTTGGGGTTGCTCTTCATTCTGGCCAATGGAGGTGCCACGCCAGAAAGACTAGCCAACAGCATCATGCTGCAGGAAACACGATACAGATTCCAAACATACAAAAATACTGCCTAGCCAGGGAAGACAACCTACAATACTGCTCCATCAGAAACAATCACAGAACCCAGCCAGTATCCCCACCTGATGTTAGAGTCCAGCCAGTGGTCTCACTAGACCACGGAGCACAGCCAACTATACCATTTGACCTCAGAGTACGGGAAGCAACCAAGCCCAACTAGAGAACCCAACACCAAGGTCTGCCTGTCCACGGTTGTAACCAATGGCATCCAGAATCCCAGGTTACAGTAAAAGTAAAGGTCTGTTACCAGAAAAGAACACCTGCAAAAGCTAGAAGACGTGAACATCTCCTCAAATGCATAGGGACACAAGGATTACGAAAAATCAGGAAAATATGACATCACAGAAAGAAACTAATAAAGCTCCTGCAGTGTACCCAGAAGAAAGGATATTTATGAAATGACTGACAAAGAATTCAAAATAATCCTCTTCTGGGAGATGTTGGTCAAAGAATGGATATTTAAAGACAGAAAGGAAGAATACATTCAGGAGTTCTATTGTACCGCTTGGTAACTACAGTTAATGATGATAAATTGTATTCTTGAAAAATGCTAAGAGAGTGAATGTTAAGCATTCTCACCGTAAAAATGATAAGTATGTGAGGCAATGCATTTGTTAGCTAGATTTAACCATTTTATAATGTATACAGTCTTCAAAACATCATGTTGTGCATGGTAAAGGCAGACAATTTTATATGTCAATTTAAAAAATAAATGAATTTGAAATAAAAGAAAAAACAATCTTTCTCTACTCACATAGTCATGAATCTTTGTTCCTTTTTTTAATCTTCCAGAGCTTTACTGTTTAACTTGCACATATAGAGCTATAATCTATTTATATTCTGTCTTTCAAATAGCATCAAGTCAAAGTAGAGTTTCTTTTATCAAAAAGCCCATCTGCTAACCAGTGCACTACAGTGTCGCCTTTGTAAAAAATTTAGTGTATGCCTATACATTTTTTTGTTTCTGAACTCTCTGGTCTATTGGTCTATCACTGCACCTGTCTCTGTCTTAATTACTAAGTGTTTATAATGTCTTGATATAAACTATAATATGTCCCTCAACTTTGTCGTTCTTCAAAATTATTGTGGCTTTGTAAAAGTGTAAGTATAAAAATTGTGTTTTACACTTCCTTGAATTTATCTCCTCCCACAATTTTATCGTATGCCTTGCCTCAGCCACTCATTCTTATGTTTCACACTCTAGCCCTTGTCAACAGATCTTTATCAATAACTGCCACCCCTCCATCATCTTAGTAACTGCATCTCACAGACTGATCATCTGCATTTTTTCCTGATTACTCCTCTAGCACCTCCAACAATTCATGAACCAGCCAGCACATCTAACTCATGGTTCCAACCACATTTTCACTGTTCCTAACTTCCTTACTAACTTCTCTCTTTCACTCATCAGTTCAAATTCCTTTACATACACCCTGAATTTCCTTGCCATCTTTTCACTTCATAATGACTTGGCAAAAATATGATACATTAGTCTTCAAAATGCTGAGGTAGGAAGATGTTAGGACAAAGATTCTATACCTAGCCCAATTATCAATCAAATGTTAATGTGTCCGGAATTGGTGGGTTCTTGGTCTCACTGACTTCAAGAATGAAGCCGCGGAGCCTCGCAGTGAGTGTTACAGCTCTTAAGGTGGCGTGTCTGGAGTTTGTTCCTTCTGACGTTTGGATGTGTTCAGAGTTTCTTCCTTCTGGTGGGTTCGTGGTCTCGCTGGCTCAGGAGTGAAGCTGCAGACGTTCGCAGTGAGTGTTACAGTTCTTAAGACGGCACGTCTGGAGTTGTTCGTTCCTCCTGGTGGGCTCATGGGCTCGCTGGCTTCAGGAGAGAAGCTGCAGATCTTCGTGGTGAGTGTTACAGCTCATAAAAGCAGTGTGGACCCAAAGAGTGAGCAGTAGCAAGATTTATTGCAAAGAGTGAAAGAACAAAGCTTCCACAGTGTGGAAAAGGACCCAAGCGGGTTGCCACTGCTGGCTAGGGCAGCCTGCTTTTATTCTCTTATCTGGCCCCACCCACATCCTGCTGATTGGTAGAGCCAAGTGGCCTGTTTTGACAGGGTGCTGATTGGTGCGTTTACAATCCCTGAGCTAGATACAAAGGTTCTCCACCTCCCCATCAGATTAGTTAGACACAGAGTATGGACTCACAGGTTCTCCAAGGCCCCACCAGAGCAGCTAGATACAGAGTGTCGATTGGTGCACTCACAAACCCTGAGCTAGACAGAGGGTGCTGATTGGCGTGTTTACAAACCTTGAGCTAGATACAGAGTGCCAATTGGTGTATTTACAATCCCTGAGCTAGACATAAAGGTTCTCCAAGGCCCCACCAGAGCAGCTAGATACAGAGTGTCAATTGGTGCACTCACAAACCCTGAGCTAGACACAGGGTGCTGATTGGTGTGTTTACAAACCTTGAGCTAGATACAGAGTGCCAATTGGTGTATTTACAATCCCTGAGCTAGACATAAAGACTCTCCACCTCCCCACCAGACTCAGGAGCCCAGCTGGCTTCATCCAGTGGATCCCGCACCAGGGCTGCAGGTGGAGCTGCCTGCCAGTCCCGCGCCATGTGCTCGTACTCCTCAGCCCTCGGGTGGTCGATGGGACTGGGCGCCGTGGAGCAGGGGGCAGCGCTCGTCGGGGAGGCTCGGGCCGCAAAGGAGCCCACAGAGGCAGGGGAGGCTGAGGCGGGGGAGGCTTAGGCATGGCGGGCTGCAGTCCGGAGGCCTGCCCCATGGGAAGGCAGCTAAGGCCCGGCGAGAAATCGAGCACAGCACCCGTGGGCTGGCACTGCTGGGGGACCCAGTACACCCTCTGCAGCCGCTGGCCCAGGTGCTAAGCCCCTCACTGCCTGGGGTCGGCAGGGCCGGCCCGCTGCTCCGAGTGCGGGGCCCGCCAAGCCCACGCCCACCCGGAACTCCAGCTGGCCCGCAAGCGCTGCGCGCAGCCCCAGTTCCCACTCGCGCCTCTCCCTCCACACCTCCCTGCAAGCTGAGGGAGCCAGCTCTGGCCTTGGCCAGCCCAGAAAGGGGCTCCCACAGTGCAGCGGTGGGCCAAAGGGCTCCTCAAGTGCTGCCAAAGTGGGAGCCCAGGCAGAGGAGGCACCGAGAGCAAGCGAGGGCTCTGAGGACTGCCAGCAAGCTGTCACCTCTCATTAAGACAAAATAAAAGTGTTTTCATTGAAGCGGGTAGGACCAAGATGGCTGATTAGAGGCAGCTACAGTCCCCAGCTCTCATGGAAAGGAATGAAAACGGCAAGCAAATTCTACACTTTCAACTGAGGTATCCAGGTTCTTACACTGGGACTGACTAGGCAGACGGCTTGACCCACGGAGAGCAAGGAAAAGCAAGGTGGGGTGATGGCCCACCCAGGAGTGGCATGGAGCCAGGGAAGCCCACATCCCCAGCTAAGGGAAGTGATGAGTGATTGTGCAGCCCTACCTTGAAAACCGTGCTTTTCTCATGGCTCTTTGCAGCCCATGGATCAGGAGATCCCCTCATGAGCCCATGTCACCAGGGCCTTGGGTCCAAAGCACAGAGAGTGTGGAGCCTCAGGGAAGCAGCCATTTGGGCATACTATGGACACCCAGGAGTTTTGAATACCCTAGCCCCAGGAATTCCTGCCAGGCGGGAGATCCATTCATGCATTCCTGTAGGAAGGGGGCTGAATCCAGGGAGCCAAGCAGTGTTGTTCTGCAGGCCCGACTTCCACAGCACCTCTCAAGTTAAGACCCACTGGCTTGGAATTCGAGCCAGCCAGTAGCAGCAGGCTGGAGACTGACTGAGACGGACTAAGTTCCTTGGGGAAGGAGCGGCCACATCTCTGTGCTTCAAGTTGGCCATTCTAGCCTGCTGTCTCTGGAGACTCCAGGTAGTCCAGACCAGAACTCTGATCTCTCTCTGGGATGAAGCTTCCAGGGGGAAGGGATGGCCATAGTCTCTGTGGTTCAGCCGACTATGCCTTTCCAGCCTGCTGGCTCTAGAGAGTCTGGGTGGTCTCGATGAGGAGGGCTCCCCCAAACACAGCACATCTGCTCTGTGAAGGGACAGCCAGACTGCTTCTTTAAGCGGGTCCCTGATGATCCCATTCCTCCTGACTGGGTGAGACCTCCTACAGATATCACCTACAGGAGTATATGGGCTAGTATAAGGTCAGTGCCCTCCTGGGATGGAGCTCACAGAGGAAGAAGCAGGTTGCCATCTTTGCTGTTTCCTAGCCTTCACTGGTGATACCTCCAGGTGTGGGAGAGACTGAGGCAACTAGGGTCTGGAGTGAACCCCCAGCAAACTGCAGCAGCCCTATGAAAGAGTGGCCTGACTGTTAAAAGGAAAAACAAACAGAAAGCCACAACAATAACATCAAAATAACATCAACAAAAAAGGCCCCACAAAAACCCCATTCAAAGGTCAGCAACCTCAAAGATCAAAGGTAGATAGCCCACAAAGATGAGAAAAATCAATGCAAAAACACTGAAAACTTAAAAAGCCAGAATGTCTCTGCTCCTCCAAATGACCCCAATATCTCCCAGCAAGGGCACAGAACTGGGCTGAGGCAGAGATGGCTGAAATGACAGAAGTAGTCTTCAGAAGGTGGGTAATAAAAAACTTTGTTGAGCTAAAGGAGAATGTTCTAACCCAATGCAAAGAAGCTAACAATCATAATAAAACAATACAGGAGCAGTTAACCAGAATAGCCAGTTTATAAAGGATCATAACTGACCTGATGGAGGTGAAAAACACAACACAAGAAATTCACAATGCAATCACAAGTATCAATAGCAGAACAGACCAAGAGGAGGAAAAAATATCAGAGCTTGAAGACTGTCTTTCTGAAATAAGACATTCAGGCAAGAACAGAGAAAAAAGAAGGAAAAGGAATTAACAAAACCTCTGAGAAATACGGGATTATATTAAAAGACTGAACTTACAACTGATTAAGATACCTGAAAGAGATGGGGAGAACAGAACCAAGTTGGAAAACATACTTCAGGATGTCATCCAGAACTTCCTCAACCTAGCAAGACAGACCAACATTCAAATTCAGGAAACCCAGAGAACCCCAGTAAGATACTCCATGAGAAGTTCAGCCCCAAGACACCCAATCATCAGATTCTCCAAGGTCAAACTGAAAGTAAAAAAAAAAAAATGTTAAGGCAGTCAGATGGAAAGGCCAGGTCACCTACAAAAGGAAGCCCATCAGAATAACAGCAGACTTTTCAGTGGAACCTTGCAAGCCAGAAGAGATTGGGGGCCAATATTCAACATTCTTATAGAAAAGAATTTTCAACCCAGAATTTCATATTTAGCCAAACTAAGCTTCATAAACAAAAGAGAAATAAGATCCTTTTCAGACAAGCAAATGCTGAGGGAATACATCACCACCAGGCCTGCCTTACAAGAGCTCCTGAAGGAAGCATTAAATATGGAAATGAAAAACAATTATCAGCCACTACCAAAACACATTGAAGTACACAGATCAGTAACACTATGAAGCAACCACATAAAAAAGTCTGCAAAATAACCAGCTAGAATCATGATGACAGGATCAAATTCACACAGAACAACATTAATTTTAAATGTAAATCGGCTAAATGTAAATAGGCTAAATGCCCAAATTAAAAGACACAAATGACAAGATGAATAAAGAGTCAAAACCCACTGGTATACTGCCTTCAAGATACCCATCTCCCATGCAAAGACACATAGGCTCAAAATAAAGGGATGGCTGGGAGCAATCACTCAAGCCTGTAATCACTCAAGCACTTTGGGAGACCAAGGTGGGCAGGTCACTTGAGGTCAAGAGTTCAAGACCAGCCTGGCCAACATAGTGAAATCCTGTCTCTACTGAAAACACAAAAAATTAGCCAAGCATGGTGATGTGTGCCTGTAATCCCAGCTACTTGGGAGGCTGAGGCAAGAGAATCTCTTGAACCTGGGAGGCAGAGGTTGCAGTGAGCCGAAATCATGCCATGGCACTCCAGCCTGGGCAACAGAGTGAGACTCCTGTCTCCAAAAAAAAAAAAAAGGAGGAGATGAAGAAAAATTTACCAAGCAAATGAAAAACAGAAAAAAGTTGGAGTTGCAATCCTAGTTTCTTACAAAACAGACTTTAAACCAACAAAGATCAAAAAAGACAAAGAAGGGCATTACATAATGGTAAAGGGTTCAATTCAATAAGAAGAGCTAACTATCCTAAATACATAAGCACCCGATACAGGAGTACCCAGATTCATAAAGCAGGTTCTTAGAGACCTACAAAGAGACTTAGACTCCCACACAATAATAGTGGGAGACTTTAACACCCCACTGACAATATTAGACAAATCATTGAGACAGAAAATTAACAAAGATATACAGGACTTGAACTCAGCTCTGGATCAAGTGGACCTGATAGATATCTACAGAAATCTCCACCCAAAATCAAGAGAATATACATTCTTCTCATCGCCACACAGTACTTACTCTAAAATCAATCACATAATCAAAAGTAAAACACTCCTCAGCAAATGCAAAAGAACTGTAATCATAACAAACAGTCTCTCAAACCACAGCACAATCAAATTAGAACTCAAAATTCAGAAACTCACTTAAAACTGCACAACTACATAAGCATTGAACAACCTGCTCCCAAAGGACTCCTGGGTAAATAATGAAATTAAGCCAGATATCAAGAAGTTCTTTGAAACTAATGAGAACAAAGAGACAACGTACCGGAATCTATGGGATGCAGGTAAAGCCATGTTAAGAGAGAAATTCATAGGATTAAATGGCCACATCAAAAAGCTAGAAATATCTCAAATCAAAAACCTAACATGCCAACTAAAAGAACAAGAGAACCAAGAGTAACCGAACCCCAAAGCTAGCAGAAGACAAGAAATAACCAAGATCAGAGCAGAACTGAAGGAGATAGAGACACACAAAAAAACCTTCAAAAAATCAATGAATCCAGGAGCTGCTTTTTTGAAAAAATTAATATAATAGATAAACCACTAGCTAGACTAGTAAAGAAGAAAAGAGAGAAGAATCAAATAGATACAATCAGAAATGATAAGGGGGATATCACCACTGAACCCACAGAAATACAAACAACCATCAGAGAATACTGTAAACACCTCTATGCACGTAAACTAGAAAATCTAGAAGAAATGGATAAATTCCTGGACACATAACACCCTTCCAAGACTGAACCAGGAAGAAATTGAATCCCTGAATAAACAAATAAATGAGTTCTGAAATGGAGGCAGAACTAATGAATAGCCTATCAACCAAAAAGAGCCCAGGACCAGAAAAATTTACAGCTAACATTCTACCAGAGGTAGAAAGAAGAGCTGGTACCATTTTTAATGAAACTATTCCAAACAATTGAAAAGAAGGGACTCCTCCCCAATTCATTTTATGAACCCAGCGTCATCCTGATACCAAAACCCAGCAGAGATACAACAAAAAAAGAAAACTTCAGGCCAATATCTCTGATGAACATCGATGCAAAAATCCTCAATAAAATACTGGCAAACTGAATCCAGCTGTACATCAAAAAGCTTATCCACTATGATCAAGTTGGCTTCGTCCCCAGGATGCAAGGTTGGTTCAACACACACAAATCAATAAATGTGATTCATCACATAAACAGAACTAAAGACAAAAACCACATGATTATCTCAATAGATGCAGAAAAATCCTTTGAAAAAATTTTCATGTTAAAATCTCTCAGTAAACTAGGTAGAAAGAATGAACATACCTCAAAATAATAAGAACCATCTATGGAAAACCCAAAGCCAATGTCATACTGAATGGGCAAAAGCTGGAAGCATTCCCCTTATAAACTGGCACAAGACAAGCATTCCCTCTCTCACCATTCCTATTCAACATAGTATTGCAAGTTCTGGCCAGGACAATAAGGCAAAATAAAAAAATAAAGGGAATTCAAATAGAAAGAGAGGAAGTCAAATTGTCTTTGTTTGCAGATGACATGATCCTATACCTAGAAAACTTCATCCTCTCAGCCCAAAAGCTCCTTAAGCTAATATGCAACTTCAGCAATGTCTCAGGATACAAAATCAATATGCAAAAATAACTAGCACTCCTACACCAACAACAGAAAAGCAGAGAGTGAAATCATGAATGAACTCCCACTCACAGTTGCTACAAAGAGAATAAAATACCTAGGAATACAGCTAACAAGGGAAGTGAAGGACCTCTTCAAGGAGTACTACAAATCAGTGCTCAAGAAAATTAGGGAGGACACAAACAATTGAAAAATATTCCATGTTCATAAATAGAAAGAATCAATATCATGAAAATGGCCATACTGCCCAAAGCAATTTATAGATTGATTCAATGCTATTTCCATTAAACTACCATTGACATTCTTCACAGAATTAGAAAAAAAAACTATCACACTCTGGGTACTGTTGTGGGGTCGGGGGAGGGGGGAGGGATAGCACTGGGAGATATACCTAATGCTAGATGATGAGTTGGTGGGTGCAGCGCACCAGCAAGGCACATGTATACATATGTAACTAACCTGCACATTGTGCACATGTACCCTAAAACTTAAAGTATAATAATAAAAAATAAACAAATAAATAAATAAATAAGGAAACTGAGGCAAAAAAAAAATCATATGGAACCAAAAAAGAGTTCAAATAGCCACAACCATCCTAAGAGAAAAGAACAAAGCTGGAAGCATCATGCTACCCAACTTCAAACTATACTACAAGGCTACAGTAACCAAAACAGCATCGTACTGGTACAAGAACAGACACATAGACCAATAGAACAGAATAGAGAACTCAGAAATAAGACCACACACCTACAACCATCTGATCTTCAACAAATCTGACACAAACAAGCAATGGGGAAAGGATTCCCTATTTAATAAATGGACCTGGGAGAACTGGCTAGCCATATGCAGAAAATTGAAACTGGACTCCTTCCTTACACCTTATACAAAAATTAAGTTGATTGGGCATGGTGGCTCACGCCTGTAACCCCAACACTTTGGGAGGCCAGGGCAGGTGCATCACATGAGGACAGGAGTTGGAGACCAGCCTGACCAACACAGTGAAACCTTGTATCTACTAAAAATACAAAAATTAGCCAAGTGTGGCAGTGCACGTCTGTAATCCCAGCTACTGGCAAGTCTGAAGCAAGAGAATCGCTTGAACCTTGGAGGCAGAGGTTGCAGTGAGCCTAGATTGTGCCACTGCACTCCAGCCTGGGCTACAGAGTGAGACCCTGTCTCAAAAAA
Source organism: Homo sapiens (assembly GCF_000001405.40). NCBI lineage: Eukaryota > Metazoa > Chordata > Mammalia > Primates > Hominidae > Homo > Homo sapiens. The sequence continues at coordinate 39,173,836 of NC_000008.11, read as the reverse complement.
AAAAATTAACCCAATATGGATTAAAAACTGAAATGTAAAACCCAAAACTATCAAAACCTTTGAAGAAAATCTAGGCAACGTCATTCAGGACAGAGGCATGGGAAAAGATTTCATGACAAAAATGAAAAAAGCAATCATAATAAAAGCAAAAACTGACAAATGGGATCTAATTAAACTGAAGAGCTTCTGCAGAGCAAAAGAAACTATCATCTGAGTGAATAGACAACTTACAGAGGGGGAGAAAATTTTTGCAATCTATCCATCTCATAAAGGTCTAATCTACAGAGTCTACAAGGAACTTAAACATATTTACAAGAAAAAAAATTAAAAAGTGGACAAAGGACATGAACAGACACTTCTCAAAAGAAGACATTCATGTGGGCAAAAAACATGAAAAAAAAAAACTCAACAGCACTGATCATTAAAGAAATGCAAATTAAAATCACAATGAGATACCACCTCACTCCAGTCAGAATGGCGATTATTAAAAAGTCAAGAAACAACAGATGCTGGCAAAGCTATGGAGAAATAGGAATATGTTTGTTTTGTTTGGTTTGTTTGTTTGCTTGTTTGTTTTTGAGACAGAGTCTCCCTCTTGTTGCCCAGGCTGGAGTGCAGTGGCACGATCTCGGCTTACTGCAACCTCTGCCTCCCAGGTTCAAGTGATTCTCCTGCCTCAGCCTCCTGAGTAGCTGGGATTACAGGTGCCTGCCACCATGCCTGGCTAATTTTTGTATTGTTAGTAGCGACAAGGTTTCACCATGTTGGTCAGGCTGGTCTCAAACTCCTGACCTCGTGATCCACCCGCCTCAGCCTCCCAGAATGCTGGGATTATAGGCGTGAGCCACTGCGGCCGGCCTGGAACATGTTTAGACTGTTGGTGGGAATGTAAATTAGTTCAGCCATTGTGGAAGACACTGTGGCAATTCCTCAAAGACCTAGAGGCAGAAACACCATTTAGCCCAGCAATCCCATTACTGGGTATATACCCAAAGGAATATAAATCATTCTATTATAAAGACACATGCACCTGTATGTTCATTGCAGCACTAGTCACAATAGCAAAGACATGGAATCAACCCAAATGTCCATCAATGATAGACTGGATGAAGCAAATGTGATACATATATAAATGTGATACATGTACACCATGGAATACTATGTATGCAGTCGAAAAAAGGAAAGACTTTGCAGGGACAAGGATGGAACTGGAAGCCATTATCCTCAGCAAACTAACACAGGAACAGAAAACTAAACACTGCATGTTCTCACTTATAAGTGGGAGCTGAACAATAAGAACACATAGACACAGGGAGGGGAACAACACACGCTGGGGCCTGTCAGGGGGCCAGGGAAGGGAGAGCACCAGGATAAACAGCTAATGTATGTGGGGCTTAATACTTAAGTGATAGGTTGATAGGTGCAGAAAACCACCATGGCACACATTTACCTATGTAACAAACCTACACATCCTGCATATGTACCCAAGAACTTAAACGCTGAAGAAAAAAAGTGCTTTCATTGATAAAATAGCTCAATGTTTGCAATTCATATACACTGTGTTAAAAAAAAAATCAAGAGTTATTCCAGAAAAGTAGTAAAAGATTCCAAGAAAAGGAAGATGGGATTTCATTTTCTGTGGCAGTTGGTTTCACCCATAACAAGTAAAAGAAGTTAGAAAAAAATTCAGTGCTCCATTAGATTCTGATGCCTAAAATGTCCTCCTTTGACCATCAAAGCTTTACTGTCATAAGAAATATTTATTTCTTTATTCAATAGTTAATATTATTTATATATTTATAATACTATAAAATGCTGTTTATTTATTTAATTCTTACATCAATCTCTAGACAAAGTGCAAAAGCCCTACAGAATTAGTTATAAATTATCTAAATATTGACAATGGGTATAAGAAATATACAACTACATTACACCTCTTACTGTTCACAGCAAGCAAACAGTGGACATTGTTTAACATATATATAGATATTACATAAAATTAAAAATAAGAACCAATATTTAAATATATATATTTAAACATAAGCAACAAGTAGAGAGAGTGGACTCAACATATCAAATGTAATATTACCAATATTGTCTACAGTTTATAAATTAAAATAGAGGTAAGGGCATATATATTTTTAAATAAATAAATTTAACCAACAGAAGAACTTAAATGGAAATTATTAAATTCTTAAATAGGACTAAATGAAGAGGTAGACAGTTTTACTATCATTTTTTGCTTTGTATATCTATAGTTTAAACAATTTACCATGTGCATTCATTATTTCAGTAATAAAAAATGTTTAAGTATTAGAAATAAAAATAGGTGCTGCAAAATCACATTTTGCAAAAAAATATATATAGAGAGAGCTACAGTAACAGATAAACAGAGAAACACACGAAGTAGAAGATATACATGCAGGTGATATGTAATGATCAAATCAGGGTAACTGGGCTATCCATAACCTCAAACATATACCATTTATTTGTTCTGAGAACAATCCAAATCTTGTCCTCTAGCTATTTTGAAATATACTATAAATTATTGTTAATTATAGTCACCCTATTGTGCTATCGAATACTAGAACTGGCCAGGCATGGTGGCTCATGCCTGTAATCCCAGCACCTTGGGAGGCAGGCAGCACCGAGGCAGGCAGATCACTTTAGGCCAGGAGTTTGAGACTGTCATGGCCAACATGTTCAAAACCCTTCTTTACTAAAAATACAAAAAAGTTAGCTGGTTGTTGTGGGTCACCTCTGTAATCTCAGCTACTAGGGAGACTGAGACATGAGAATCGCTTGAACCTTGGAGGCGGAGGTTGCAGTGAGCCAAGATCAGGCTGCTGCACTCCAGCCTGGCATAAAAGCAAGACTCTGTCAAAATATATATATATATACTAGAACTTATTCCTTCTACCTGACTGTAATTTTGTACCCATTACTCAACTTCTCTTCATCTCCTCTTCCCCCTACCCTTCCCAACCTCTGGTAATCACCATTCTGCTCACTGCCTTTACATACAACTATTATGTGTCAATAAAAAAATGAATAACAGTTTCTAAAAACATGTTCTAAAAATTTTTTTATTTAAAACTCTTTTAAGAAAACAATAAGATATATATATCAATCAAAATGTTAATAGTGGTTATCTCCACCTGGTGGCAAAATGCAAAATTATATGAATTTTCTTATATGTTCCTATATATATATACTCAACAAATTTGACATCATTAACATAAATTACTTTGTAAGTTAAAAAAATAGTACTTAAACTTGTTTTTTTAAAAATGAGTAGGGTGAGAAAATGGCACAAAGAGATGCATCAACTTTTCAATAATGCATTTATTTTTACCCATTATATATATAAAATCACATTTATCCGTATTATAAATGCTTAAAATACACATAAAAGTTTATTTTACTGTCTTTCAGAGTTCTGAAACATCTTAAGGAATCCTTAATCTGGTTTTTGTTTTGATTTTGAATCTATTTTATCTATAAGAATATTTCTCCAATTTTATGTCTGTAAGCAAAAATCTATTTTGGGTTATAGAAATTTTACTGCAGATAATTTTTCACAATGCATTATTCTGTATATCAAGAACAGCATGCGTATTTATGATATTTTTATTCCAACTCTGAAACATAATTAATTGCAACAAGATATTGATCTACAAAATATTCTTCCTTCTACACACTTAAAAATTTTAACAGTAATGGAAAAAAATGCAATCTGTAAATGGAAACATGCACATAAATTGTACAAAATATATACTATCATGTCAAATAATTTTTAAACGTGTTAATTTAAAAAATAAGATTAAATAGTTACATACCAATGCAACTCCTGCAGAATAACGAGTAATACACATTGTTCCAGGAAACACTGCTCCCAAATAACGAGGATAATCCATATAACTAAATAAATAAATTTACATTTATAATTGATTTTAACAGACAATTTAAAAATGAGAATTCCTGCTAATAATTTAAGTCTGCAGTTCATAAAATCCAAATCTGAAGCAAATTGAGGTATGATCTTTCCATATGTCCTCAATTGTTTCAAATTTGGAATATTATTTAATATGACATATTAGTATTAATTAGATTAAACACTCTTGATATCTGAAACATATCTAATAGATCAAAGTTTTTAATGCCTTTAGTGTTCTCATCACATCTGGCTATGTTTGCCAAAGGCTTTGCTCCAATATTCTGATAAAAAATACTTTGTTGAGTGACAGTGACAAATCGTTTCAATGTATAGATTAAAATATGTTGCTCCCAGGTAGTAAAGTTCAACAGTTTCCAATAGGAGTGCTTTATTGTTTCACACCCAAACATTATTATTTCAGCCTTGAGTAAGGAGCCATTTAAACTGTCATATAATAATAGCACTATTCTCAGAACTTTACATTAACTAATCCATTTAACACTCAAAACAAACTAGTGAAGTAGATATTATTTTTGTCCCCATTGAGCAAATCAAGTATCAGATGCGAAGTATAAGTAACTCTCTCAAGGTAGCATGATTAATACGTCCTACTGAAGGATCTGAACTTACACAGTCTGAATCCGAGCCATATTCTCAACTACTAAGGTATAGATGCTCCAAGCATTTACTGCCTTATTTAGAGCCCCCACCAAAACGAATAAGCCAGGATGTGAGTAAAGAATCTTAAGAAGCTTGGAATTCAATTCTCAATTTGAAATGCCCCTTCTGTCTCAAGTGCACTTCACTTCACAATCGCACTGCCTCTCCACTACTTTTATTCTGTCTCTCTGATATTGTTTATACCTAACCCTTCCAGCATTTGTTTCCAAGTATTTGTTCCTAATGCCAAACATTGGTTTTATGTTCCAACATCTAAGTATTGTTTACTCTGTTTCTCCCTCCCACAGATACTTTAATAAGCCCTTTTTTTACAACTTAGACTTCCCCTAAAATTCTACACATACTCCTGACAAGCTCAGTAATATATTTTTTACCTCATACTGACACCTTTTGACGTGCCCACTCCACATCAAATCAGTTGTCAAGATCTACCACCTTGCTTTGTCAGTGTTTGTTTCCTTTCCCTCCTTCAAAGGTTCAGCTCCAGTTCTAACTATGAATTCCATACTCTATAAAAGGTAATAATATTAATCCTAAAGAAAACTCTAGCAGACTAAAAGTTGGGGGTGGAAGAGACCTTCTACACTATACAGGAAACCAAAAAGTAAGAAGAAAATATTAACAAATTTGGCCATATGAAATGTAAAAGTTTTCATGTAGTGTTGGGAGCCGAAAGCCTGAGGGTCATGACCAACTCAGCATTCCCCTGGAGGCTATATGATTAAACAGCAAACTGTTTATCATGAATGCATAATGTGGGCAAATTCACATCTGTGCCTGCCACCAGAAGGTATGCTGAGGGCAGTCACTCCCTGGTGCCGTGCTCCTTGAGGGTATCTACTGGAACATCTGGAGCCTACTGTTCAAAGAATGCAGTCATGCAGGCCTGCACTAAGTCAAGCAGCTGACCACAACCACCCCCTTCTCCCTATCTCCTTTACTCAATAAATATGAAGGGCTCTAGAAGTTCAGGGCCCCTGTTCACTAAAAGCAAGGAGCCCCCTGACCCCTTCTTGCAAATATATTCTTTTCTCTTTGTCTTTATTCCTGCATTCGTCCTCCTTTGTTCAGTCCAGCAAGGTCTGCTGCAATGTAGCAGAGAAAAAAAAGTTTATAGAAAAATTATAGATATGGAAAAAGTATTTGTCATAAAGATAAACAATGTTAGTATCTAAGCATTCAAAAAGCCCTTACAGGCATCCAAATCGGTAAAGAGGAAGTCAAACTGTCACGTTTGGTGATGATACGATCATTTACCTTGAAAATGCTAAAGACTCCTCCAGAAAGCTCCTAGATCTAATAAAAGAATTCAGCAAAGTTTCCGGATACAAGATTAATGTACACAAATCAGTAGTTCTTCTATAACACCAACAGTGATCAAGCAGAGAATCAAATCAAGAACTCAACCCCTTTCACAATAGCTGCAAAAAAATAAAATACTTAGGAATATACTTAACCAAGGAGTAGAAAGACCTCTACAAGGAAAACTACAAAACAATGCTGAAAGAAATCATAGATGACACAAACAAATTGAAACACATCCCATGCTCATGGATGGATCGAATCAATATTGTGAAAATGATATTGCCAAAAGCAGTCTAAAAATTCAATTCAATCCCCATCAAAATACCACCATCATTCTTCACAGAATTAGAAAAAAAATTCTAAAATTCATATGGAACCTAAAAACAGCCCTCATAGCCAAAGCAAGACTAAGCAAAAAGAACAAATCTGGAGCCATCACACTAACTGATTTGAAACTATACTGTAAGGCCATAGTCACCAAAACAGCATGATACTGGTATAAAAATAGGCATGTAGATCAATGGAACAGAATAGAGAACCCAGAAATAAACCCAAATACTTACAGCCAACTGATCTTCAGCAAAGCAAACAAAAACATAAAGTGGGGAGAGGACACCCTATTCAACAAATGGTGCTGGGATAATTCCCAAGCCACATGTAGGAGATGAAACTGGATCCTCATCTCTCACCTTATACAAAAATCAACTCAAGATGGATTTAACCTAAGGACTTAAACTAAGATCTGAAACTATAAAAATTCTAGAAGATAACATTGAAAAACCCCTTCCAGACATTGGCTTAGGCAAGAATTTCACGACAAAGACCTCAAAAGCAAATGCAATAAAAACAAAGATAAATAGTTGGGACTTAGTTAAACTAAAGAGCTTTTCACACAGCAAAAGGAACAGTCAGCACAGTAAACAGACAACCCACAGAGTGAGAGAAAATCTTCACAATCTATACATCTGACAAAGGACTAATATCCAGAACCTACAATGAACTCAAACAAATCAGTAAGAAAAAAACAAACAATCCCATCAAAAAGTGGGCTAAGGACATGAATAGACAATTCTCAAAAGAAGATATACAAATGGCCAACAAACATATGAAAAAAATGCTCAACACTAATGAGCAGGGAAATGCAAATCAAAACCACAATGTAAAACCACCTTACTCCTCCAATAAAGGCCATAATCAAAAAATCAAAAAACAGTAGATGTTGGTGTGGATGCAGTGATCATGGAACATTTCTACACTGCTGGTGGGAATGTAAACTAGTACAGCCACTATGGAAAACAGTGTGAAGATTCCTTAAAGATCTAAAAGCAGAACTACCATTTGATCCAGCAATCCCACTACTGGGTATCTACCCAGAGGAAAAGAAGTCATTAATTGAAAAAGATACTTAGACACGCATGTTTATAGCAGCACAATTCACAATTGCAAAATCATGGAACCAACCCAAATGCCCATCAATCAACCAGTGGATAAAAAAACTGTGGCAATGTGATGGAATACTACTCAGCCATAAAAAGGAATGAATTGACTGCATTTGCAGCGACCTGGATGAGATTGGAGACTATTATTCTAAGTGAAGTAACTCAAGAATGGAAAACCAAACATCGTATGTTCTGACCAATATGTGGGAGCTAAGCTATGAGGCAAAGGCATAAGAATGATACAATGGACTGTGGGGACTGGGGGGAAGAGTGGGAGGTGGGGCGAGGGATAAAAGACTACAAATATGGTGCAGTGTATACTGCTCAGGTGATGGGTGCACCAAAATCTCATAAATCACCACTAAAGAACTTACTCATGTAACCAAATATCACCTGTACCCCAATAACTTATGGGGAAAAAATATAAATATTAAAGATAATGAAATTATTTTTTAAAAACCCTTACAAATTATAGGGAAGTAGTCAAATGACAAGAAAAGGCAATTACAGAAGGACAGATACAAATGATCAACAAGCATTTGAAAAGATGCTCAAATCCACCAGTCATCAGAAAAAAAGCAAATTAAAATGACAATGACATTAAGTTATATCCATCAGACTACCAAAAATTAAAAGAGCAGTAACATTTATGGCTGGCAGAGATGTGAGGGAAAGATTAGTCTCACACAAGCAAAAGAAAACACTGACATACCAAACTTAAATACATATATAGACATGTATAGTTTCATTGAAAGACACTTGCTAATTATTGCTAATAAATTTAATATGAATACAATTATAAATATATAGCTATAATTTATAATTAGAAAACTAACATTTTAAAATTACTCAGAAAATTCATTAGGGTAAAGTCTTTGTAGCCACATTTACCAAGTCTTTGGTCAAAGCTTATTTAAGAATGTAAACCTCTCAAGATAAATCCCATCTCTTTAAGTAGTGGTTAAGAGTTTTGGCTCTAGAGTTACGAACTGTGGGTTCAAACCTAGTAGTACCACCAGATCCAAGAGTCCTGAGATGGCTTAACCTCTTGAAACTCTCAATGTCTTCATTTATAAAAGCTTTATTAGCATAGAAATAAATGTTAGTAAAGTTTTTTATTGCCTGACAACTAGAAATTGAGCATAAAGCCTGAATAAAGCACATACTAAATAATCAAAGCATGGATATTCAGAAATGAATAATAATTCCTTACATTAAGCCACATAATTATCACAGGTCTTTGTTTTCTTTCTAGGAATAATGAAACATTATTCTTACATTAGTAGATATGCAATATCATGAGGCCTTAGGTTAAGATAAGATTGTTTCCATTCTAAAAATTTTTGCAATAATTCATCTGCCTCACCAACTGTAGAAATCTTATTTTCATCTGACCATAACTCCAATGATGACAGCACAATAGTAACTTTAAATTGGGTGAACATCTAAAAACAGAAGAGATAAATACATGCATAATTAATATTTATGTTATCTTATAAAAACCCAGAAATTCAAAGTTTTTACAATCCCACACTCAGTTTATATGGGTGGGTTAATTATCCAGGAATACCGCATCAAGTTTAGGCAAATTATCATTTCAAAACAACAATTATTTTAATATGAAAAGGAAAACACTTACTGAATTTGCAAGGCCAACAATTTCGATGACTTTATTTGTTACTATCATGCTATCAGAGCCCCAGTAATCATACTGAAAAACAGAATTAATTTTATATTTAAGTACAAATTATTATGTAGTATTTTTAAGATTCTTTTCCATCTACTGTCAGAGGTGTAAGGCTGCTTTGGGTTTCAACAGTTCAAAATAAAACATTAATAAGTAAAAACTGAATATAAACTGGATCCCTCATGCATTGCTGATGGGAATGTAAAATGGTACAGCCACTCTGGAAAATAATTTGGTAACTTCAACTTCTTTGAAATCAAAACAAAGAATGGATTTACTATATGGCCCAGCAATCTCACTTCTGAGCATTTATCTCAAAAAACTGATCCTCACGCAAATACTTGTACATGAATGTCCATAACATCTTTACTCATAATAGCTAAAAACTAGAAATAACTCATATATCCTTCAGTGGTTAAATGGTTAAATAAACTGTAGTACATTCCTACCATAAACTCAGCAATAAAAAGAAACAAATGTTGATATATGGAACTGCCTGGATAAATCTCAAGAAAATTATGCTCAGCATGAAAACATAATCTCAAAAGGATACAGACTGCTTGATAACTTTATGCAATGTGTGTGAAATCACAAAGAAGGAGAATGGCTTAGTGGACACCAAAGGCTCAGAAGCGGGCAGGGGATCAGTGTGGCTCTAATGGGATCACACAGGAGAGTGCTGTGGTGATGGTACTGTTGAGTGTCTCAATTGTGGCAATGGTTATGGAAGGCTACCTATGTAATACCATTGCATAAAACTGTACATAAATGCACACACACAAATGAGTGTGTGTGTATGTATACATACATATACATCGCTCTTGAAATCTGAAAAACTGGATTGCAACTATGTCAAACTGTATATATCCATAGACAAACTCTCTATAGTACATCACCTTGGATGTTCCACAGGATCCTCAAATTATCCCAGAGTAAACTCATATCCAAAACTAAAATAAATATATTCAAAACTAAACTCATCGTCTTCCTTCAAAAATCTCTTCCTACTTATATTTTCACTACTTTAGTGAATGGTATTATTATCTAACACATCCTACATTTATTACACTACATGCTCCATGAGAGCGGAAATTGTTCTGTTTTATTCACTGCTATATCCCCAATGGCTAGAACAGCAACTGTTATCTAGATGATGCTCAATGAATTTGTTAAGTAAACGAATAAATCAATCAAATCAAGTTCTTCTAATTCAACCCAATCAGTAACTTTTAAAGTTGTTCCTTTATTTTTATTCTTGATGCCACTAATTTCTAAGTTTTCACCCTGATTACTAGAACAGTCTCTTAAAATTTGATTCCTCCTTCCCCAATTTTCCCACCAGCAATCTGGTCCCTACACTATTACCAAAATGATTATTCTAAGGTAAAATAGAAATATGTCACTCCCCTATTTAAAATATTTCAATGACATCTTCCCTCCTTCCCTTTGTGGGCCCTGAATGATGGAGAGTGCCCCCTACCATTGGAAACTGAGTAACAGCCTGTCTTTTCAATAGCAACCATCTACTGATCTGTTGGCTTCAATATACCTGAGTAGTAATAAAACCTACATTTTAAAACACCCACTTGGATGCTCTTATAGTATAACAACTTACAGTTGTGTTTCCATGTCTGTCTCCATTATTAAACTGTGTATATATAGAACCATATGCTTTCTACAATCATGGCAATGAATTCACTATGCCATAATTACGGATTTACAAATTATAAAGTCACTGAAGAAAATATGAATACTATGATTGTTTGTTTGTTTGTTTCTTTGTTTTTGAGATGGAGTCTTCCTCTGTTGCCTAGGCTGGAGGCCAGTGGTGCGATCTCGGCTCACTGCACCCTCCACCTTCCTTGTTCAAGCAGTTCTCCTGCCTCAGTCTCCTGAGTAGCTGGGACTACAGGTGTCCACCACCACGCCTGGCTAATTTTTGTGTTTTTAGTAGAGACAAGGTTTCACAATGTTGGCCAGGCTGGTCTGGAACTCCTGACCTCAGGTGATCCACCCACCTCAGCTTCCCAAAGTACTGGGATTACAGGCATGCACCACACCCGACCAAGGGTTTTTTTTTACTAAAGAATATGTAAAAATGTATAAGAACATAAAGAAGAAATGTTTAATCAGCATTATATGACTTGAAAACCTGGCAATTTGGAATCATCACACTGTCTTCCACAATGGTTGAACTAGTTCACAGTCCCACAACAGTGTAAAAGAACTAGAAATACCATTTGACCCAGCCATCCCATTACTGGGTATATACCCAAAGGAATATAAATCATGCTGCTATAAAGACACATGCACACGTATGTTTATTGCAGCACTATTCACAATAGCAAAGACTTGGAACCAACCCAAATGTCCAACAATGATAGTCTGGATCAAGAATATGTGGCACATATACACCATGGAATACTATGCAGCCATAAAAAATGATGAGTTCATGTCCTTTGTAGGGACATGAATGAAGCTGGAAACCATCATTCTCAGCAAACTATCGCAAGGACAAAAAACCAAACACCGCATGTTCTCACTCATAGGTGGGAATTGAACAACGAGAAAACTAGGACACAGGAAGGGGAACATCACACACCAGGGCCTATTGTGGGGTGGGGGGAGGGGGGAGGGATAGCATTAGGAGATATACCTAATGTAAATGATGAGTTAATGGGTGCAGCACACCAACATGGCACATGTATACATATGTGACAAACCTGCACGTTGTGCACATGTACCCTAGAACTTAAAGTATAATAAATATATATATATATATATATAAAATAAAATAAAAAAGAAAACCTGGCAATTTGGAGAAGCTTTTGAAACTACTCTCAAGATATATAACATAATCCAAAAACAAAAGGAGTTTCAAAATCCAAAATATTCCCTGGAAACTTAGTCATATTTATCAGAAATACTTCAATTTTCTCTCAACTATCTCAATGTCTCAATGTTCTCTTAAATGTTCCCTTTTCCCTTTTCCCTGTACTCTAATTAATCAAGTTATTTTCATCTCTTTCTCCAAATCCTGGTCCCTGACCTTAACTCTGGCTTCCTGACAAGCTCTAAACCCTAGGAATAGAATTGGTAAAGAGTATTAGTCATACCCGCTGTGGTATTCCATAGGTATACACAAATAAAGGCTTATCATCAGAATAAAACCTAGAAAGTATATTTTTAATCTCTATTTTCTGAAATCTTTCAACTATTAAAAGAAATAAAGACATACCTAGTTGACTGCAAACTAAGTTGTCACCCTAACGTTCTGAAATTCAGAGGCCTCAGACTGTTTATGGAAATTAGGAATCTCGAGGTACTCTTTTCAACAGGTAAACAATGGACTAGAATGGGTGCCCCACCAAAAACTGCTAAAAAACTTCTTGACACATTAGTGAAAGTCATTCTAGTAGATAGTTATACTATCATCACTTTTGTTCCAATAAATATTCTAGGGTGGAATGTTCCCTAGACTACATTCTGCTCTTCAAACTTCCCTAAAATAGAATTTCACTTCCACCAAAATCACCATTAAATGGTAGTATGGATTGAGAGGGACTCTAGAAATGTGAAGTGCCAGGGAAAAAAATACATTTTGTTCTGCAGTACTGTTGTGTAAGTATTTCAAATAAAACATTTCTGATAAAACTAGTATCATTTTGACTATTTAGTTTCTCAGTTTGCACATTTTTCCACTATTGTCTCTATGACATGTGAGTAAGAACATTGGAATCTTTTAGTTTCTGTCTAGCTAGCTAGGCATAATCATACATTTGGATCAAATATTTCAAAGCAAAGAAAAAGCAAAACACATACCAAAGTTTTGTCCACCACAATATGCATTTCTAGATAAAGAGGAAATAAATCTGGAACAGCTGGTTCTGACTAGAAAAAAGGAAAACAGCATATAATACATGAAAAATTTCATAATTTTTTTACTTGAACTCTTCTTTAAAGCTAATACCACAGCACTTACAAGATATGCAGAGGTGTTTGCTTTATCAAATTGGTTAAAATTAATAAATAAAGTTTTAAGTTTTATGGCAATGTACTCAAGTAGTTAGAAGATTGCCCATGAAGTTGTAACATCTATCTCAGTATATCTACAACTTCCAATTTATGAACTAAGAAAAAACACCTAGCATTTCCATCTACTTCATCTGCATATCAGAAATAAACTTTTGCTTTAAAAACTATATGTGTGTGGAGGATTTTTTTTTTTTTTTTTTTTTTTTTTTTTTTGAGATGGAGTCTCGCTCTGTCGCCCAGGCTATAGTGCAGTGGCGCGATCTCAGCTCACTGCAAGCTCCGCCTCCTTGGTTCACGCCATTCTCCCGCATCAGCCTCCGGAGTAGCTGGGACTACAGGCGCCTGCCACCACGCCGGGCTAATTTTTTGTATTTTTAGTAGAGGCGGAGTTTCACTGTGTTAGCCAGGATGGTCTCCATCTCCTGACCTCGCGATCCGCCCGCCTTGGCCTCCCAAAGTGCTGGGATTACAGGCGTGAGCCACCGCGCTCCTTTCTGTATTTGTGTCCTTTGCAATATGACTTTTCAGTGCCTGTCATCAAGAGGTGAGTTCATTTTTCCTCTCTCTCAATCTGGGCTGGGCTTTGTAACTTGTTTGAGCCAATAAAGGCAATAGAAGTGTTGTTTTGCCAATCTTGAGCCTAAGTCGCCTTTCATACTGCCATTCCTGATCTTGGAATCCCTGCCTGTACACATCTGGCCAGACTGCCAGATGATAAGAGCAAATGGCCTATTCACGCAATTGCCCCAGAAAAAAACATAAAAATAAAAAACAGGACAATGCTTGAGGGGGGAAAAAAGCTGCTGGGTTTCTATAAGGGAGTATTGTGGTCCTTGAACTGACCCACCTACCATCCCATCTCACACATCCAGCTCATTGGCATCCATTAAGATAGAGGCCCATATTCCTGGTGTGGCTTTCCCGTGCCAGAGGAAGAAATACCAAATTTGTTCTCAAAGAATTATGGTTATGTGTTTTGAGCTGTCCAGTGGCTCCCTAAAGGTTTTGCTCAAGAGCTTTCCTTTGTTTCCTCCACCATGAAATTTCACAGGGTTGGAGTGGACTCCAAGGCAGTGTTTATAAAAAGCATTTCAAGGCAAATACACTGGCTGCAGCCACCTGGAGCAAGGAAAAACGGACAAGAAAAGCAGCAAGCACACTAAAAAGTCTAGGAAGAAAGAGGCTGAGGAAGGAAATGGGTGGAGAAATGAAGGCTTTGAAAACCTCAGGCATATACTGGGAAATCTAGAGGGCCACCCACATGTCCAAGGCTGGACACTTGCTCAGAATAGACTTGAAAAGACACTAAGCTTTCTCCTCTGCCTGGCTTTCAGACATTGTACAAGCAAGAGTCAAGGCTAAGGGTGAGTTGTCAACATCTGGAATAAGTGTTGCATGTATATCCAAACCCAGAGTCAATCTGTAAAAACCAAGGAAGTCTTTTCTCTTTTTTGGCTCCAGTAATTTAAAGAAATCTCTATCAAATCACTTGGTGACTACTAAACAATATTGTTCACAAAATATTTCTTTACTTTAGAAAAGTCAGTAAACAAGCAAACAACTACAACCCACAACAAGCAGTAACAACACACCTTGCTGGGGAGTGAGGAAGAATCTGATTTCCAGCATTACCACATCAAAATATTCAAAATGTTCAAATTTCAACAACAACAAGAAAGTAGTATGGCCCATTCTCAGAAAATAAAGAAACAGAAATGGTACCACTGGAAGCCCAGACATTGTACTTACTAGACAAATAATGTAAATTAATTGTTTTAAAATATGTTCAAAAAGCTATGAAAAACTATGTAAAAAAAACTAAAGGAAACCAGAAGAATGATACTTCACCAAATAGAGAGTATCCATAAAAATATAGAAATTATAAAAAGGAAATTGTGGAGCTAAAAAGTAAAACACATGAAAATTCACTAGGATTCAATAACATAGTTGAGCAAGCAGAAAAAAGGAATCAGCAAACTTCAAAACAAATCAATCAAGATTATTCAATCTGAGGAGCACAATCAAAGAATAAAGCAGGATTTGATGGCATGATGTCTCGCAGGAAATCTTTTGCTCCAAGACATGGGTCCCCGGGCTTCCTGCCTTGGAAACACAGCAGTAGGCATCATGGCAAGGTGAAGAGCTTCCCCAGTGATGACCCTTCTAAACTGGTCCACCTCACAGCTTTCCTGGGATACAAGGCTGGCATGACACATCGTGTGGGAAGCTGGCCGGCTAGGACCCAAGGTGAACAAGAAGGAAGGGGTAGAGGCTATGACCATTGTGGAGACACTGCCCATGGTGGTAGTAGGCATCCTGGGCTACATGGAAACCCCTCAAGGCCTCTGAATTTCCAAGACCATCTTTGTTGAGCACATTAGCAATGAGTGCAAAAGGCACTTCTATAGGAACTGGCATAAAGCGAAGTAGAAGGCTTTTACCAAGTACTGCAAGAAACTGCAGGGTGAGGATGACAAGAAGCAGCTGAAGAAGGACTTCAACAGCATGCTTGAATATCTACACCCAGATGCACCTGCTTCCTCTATGTATGAAGAAGACCCACCTAATGGACATCCAGGTGAACAGAGGCACTGTGACCGAGAAACTGGACTGGTCTCTGGAGAGGCTAGAGGACCAGGTACCTGTGAAGCAAGCGTTTGGGCAGGACAAGATGATTGACATCAAACGGGTGACCAAGGGCAAAGGCTACAAAGAGGTCACCAGTCATTGGCATACCAAGAAGCTGCCCTACAAGACCCACTGAGGGCTGTGGAAGGTTGCCTATATTGGGGCATGGCATCCTGCCCATATGACCTTCTCTGTGGCACGTACTAGACACAAACTATCACTGCACTGAGATCAACAAGAAGATCTATAATATCAGTCAGGGCTACTTCATCAAGGATGGCAAATTGATCAGTGCCTCCACTGACTATAACCTGACAAGAGCATCAACCCTCTGGGTGGCTTTGTCCACTATGGTGAAGTGACCAATGACTTTGTCATGCTGAAGTGCTGTGTGGTGGGAACTAAGAGGCAAGCGCTCATCCTCCACAAGTCTTGATGCAGACCAAGCAGCAGGCTCTGGAGAAGACTGACCTTAAGTTCATTGACACTACCTTTAAATTTGGCCATGGCCGCTTCCAAACCATGGAGAAGAAGCATTCATGGGACCACTCAAGAAAGACCAGATTGCAAAGGAAGAAGGAGCTTAATGCCAGGAACAGATTGTACAGCTGATGGGATCTCAATAAAAGTTATCTGACACTGAAAAAAAAAGAGTGAAGAAAAATGAACAGAGCCTAAGAGACCTGTGGGACACCATCAAGCTCATAAATAAGAAGAGTTCCTAGCAGAAGAGAAGAAAGGGGCAGAAAGAAAATTTGAAAAATAATGGGTGAAAACCTCCCCAGTTTGATGAAATATATGAATCTACACATCCAAGAAGCTTAACAAACTCCAAGTAGAATAAACTCAAAAGAATTCACACCAAAACATATTATAATCAAAGTGTCCAAAGTTAATGATAAAAAGAGAACCTTGAAAACAGCAAGAGAAAAGCAATTCCTCACAAATGAGAGATCTTCAATAATAGTAATATCTAATTTCTTATTAGAAACCAGGGAGGCCAGAGGCAGTGGGATGACATTTAAAGTGCTGGAGGGAAAAAAACTGTCAAACAAGAATTCTATATCTGACAAAACTATCCTTCAAAAATGAAGGAGAAATTAAGACATTCCCAGATAAATAAAAACTGAAAAAGCTCATTGCTAGTAGACTTGCCTGCTTATTATAGGCCAAATGGTATCCCAGTAAAATTCATATGTTAAAGATCTAACCCCAGTATGTCACAAAATGAGGCTGTATTTGGAGACAGGGCCTTTAAAGAGGTAATTAGATTGAAAATTAGGTCATTAGGATGGGCTCTGATGCAATGTAACTGGTATCTTTATAAGAGAAAATTAGAACACAAACACAGAAGGAAGACCTTGTGCAGATACAGGGAGAGGGTGGTTACTTATATGCCAAGCAGAGGGTCCTCAGAAGAAACTACAACTTAGTTAACACCTTGATCTCAAACTTCCAGGCTCCAGAATTGTGAAAAAATACATATCCTTGTTTAAGCTACCCAGTCCATGGTAAATTGTTATGGCAGCTGTAGTAAACTAATACACTGCCCTACAAGAAATGCCAAAGGTAGTCCTTCAGTTTAAAATGAAAGCACACAAAACAGTAACAAGAAGCAATAAAAGAAATTAAAAACACAGTAAAGGTAAATACATTGGTAACTATAGAAGATATTATTATAGCTGGGTGCAGTGGCTTACACTTATACTCCTGGCACTCTGGAAGGCCAAAATGGGAGGACTGCTTGAGTCCAGGAGTTTGAGACTAGCCTGGGCAACAAAGGAAGACCCAGTCTCTACAAATAAACAAATTAACTGGGCATGGTGGCACATGCCTGTGGTCCCAGCTAATTGGGAGGCAGAGGCAGGAGGATCACCTGTGCTTAGGAGGTAAAGGATGCAGTAAGCTGTGATCACAGCACCAGCACCACACTCCAGCCTGGATGACAGAGTAAGACCCTGCCTCCAAAAAAAAAGATACTATTATTATATTTTTGTTTTGTTATTCCTCACTTTTCCCCAAATTATTTAAGAGAAAATGTATCAAACAATAATTATTAAGCTATTGTATTACTATACAATAGCTTGTACATTGTATTATCATTAACATAGCTTAATGTTATTAGATAATTTGTGATAATAAAAACATAAAGAAGACAAAGCTGTATAGCAGCAGCGTTTTGTATACTATAGAGGCTAAGTTGGTATTAATTCAAACTATGATTGTTATAAATTTAAGATGTTATTGTAATATCCAGAGTAACCACTAAGAAAATAATCAAAATTACATAAAGAAAAATAAATGAGAAGGGAATCAAAATGACATACTAGAAAAAAATCCACTAAACAAAAGAAGGCAGTAATAGAGAAATAGAGACAAAAAAAGATAGAAGACATATAGAAAACGATTAGCAAATGTCAAATTAAGTCTTTATTGAGCCCAGGAGGCAGAGGTTGCAGTGAGTCGAGATCCACAACTGGTGCTCTGTATGGCTTAGACATCTCTTTTCCTGAATCTACTGCCACACTGCTCTTTATATTTATTGTGTCATCTTGCTTCTGCACATCAAGGAAAACCCTACTACTTCAGAAATTAATCCATCCATTGACTATTTTACTGGTATAAGCAACTATATCTTGAGTCTGTCAGTTCAGGAAGCCTCACATGTTTGGCCTCTCTCAATGTCATGCTATTGTCACATAAAGGTAGAGCTATACTGCCTCTGTTACTACCATTATTGCCACTTTGCTCTATGCATCCATCCAGGCTATTGAAATTCTTGACACAGATTACCATAAATTACAATGACATGCAGTAACTAAGAAAGCATATGAGGACAATTTGATTTCCTCTCTTCCAATTTGAATATCCTTTATTTCTTTCTCTTGTCTGATTGCCCTGGCTGGAATTTCCAATACTATGTTGAATAGGAGTGATGCCAGAGGGCATCTTTGTCTTGTGTCAGTTTTCAAAGAGAATGCTTCCAGTTTTTGCCCATTCAGTATGATATTGCCTGTGGATTTGTCATAAATAGCTCTTATTATTTTGAGATACGTTCAATCAATACCTAGTTTATTGAGCGCTTTTAGCATGAAGGAGTGTTGAATTTTATCAAAGGCCTTTTCTGCATCTATTGAGATAATCAGAATGGGAGAAAATTTTTGCAATCTACCCATCTGACAAAGGACTAATATCCAGAATCTACAAAGAACTTAAACAAATTTATGAGAAAAAAAAAACCATCAAAAAGTGGGTGAAGGGTTTGAACAGACACTTCTCAAAAGAAGACATTTATGCAACCAACAAACATATGAAAAAAAAAGCTCATCATCCCTGGTCATTAAGAGAAATGCAAATCAAAACCACAATGAGATACCATCTCATGCCAGTTAGAATGGCAATCATTAAAAAGTCAGGAAACAACAGATGCTAGAAAGGATGTGGAGAAATAGGAATGCTTTTACACTGTTGGTGGGAGTGTAAATTAGTTCAACCATTGTGAAAGACAGTGTGGCAATTCCTCAAGGATCTAGAACCAAAAATACCATTTGACCCAGCAATCCCATTCCTGGGTATATACCCAAAGGATTATAAATCATTCTACTGTAAAGACACATGCACACATATGTTTATTGCTGCACTGTTCACAATAGCAAAGACTTGGAACCAACCCAAATGCCCATCAATGATAGACTGGATAAAGAAAATGTGGCACACATACACCATGGAATACTATACAGCCATAAAAAAGGATGAGTTCATGTCCTTTGCAGGGACATGGATAAAGCTGGAAACCATCATTCTCAGCAAACTAACACAAGAACAGAAAACCACACACCACATGTTCTCATTCATAAGTGGGAGATGAACAATGAGAACACATGGACACAGGGAGGGGAACATCACACACTGGGGCCTGTCGGGGAGATGGGGGGTAGGGGAGGGATAGCACTAGAAGAAATACCTAATGTAGATGACGGGTTGATAGGTGCAGCAAACCACCATGGCACGTGTGTACCTATGTAACAAACCTGCACGTTCTGCACATGTACCCCAGAACTTAAAGTATAATTACATATATATATATATATGAGGAACTTTCTGTTTGTCTTTTACTTGGCTGTTTTTCTTTCCTCCAACACTTGTCCAGACAAACGATGATATCTGTGGGGATCCAGAGCTTCCCAGCTTTCCAGATCATGCCACTTTCCAAATGATACATACAAATGCAATTTGGCTGACATATGTGCTCAAATAACTTTATTGTAGTAATTATCACTTCATTGTAAAATAAGTATGTGAAAACTTCCTGATTTTCAAAGGAAACCCAAAGACAAATCTGAGACAGGATTTATATGTAGATAATTTACTAATAAAGTTCTCCCAGGAGAGACCAGCTAATGAGTGGGAGAAGCAGGATTAGGATCAGGAGGAATCCACACAAGAGTGTGCTCTCAGACACAGTCCCACAGAGAAAATCTGGTGTGTAAGTTGTGCTACAGAGTTGTCCTGACCTGTAACAAGAAACCAAACTCACCCTTTCCCACACTGGTGAGGTGCTGGCTAAGGACCACCCTGGGGAAATGTAAATCTCCAGTACTTATGTTTACCTTGCCATCTGGGCAAAGCAGTTTCAGTTGGCTGAAGGGCAGCCCACATAAAAAAGAGTTACAAGTGGCACATGTTCAAAGCAAAGGCATAAACAAAGACATGGTGTCCCACCCTCCTGCATCATCCCCACAAAAATATACTAGAAAGGAATATGAGGGGTTCTGGGCAGGGCACTGACATTGTTCGCTACACTGGGTCATCTCAGTCATTGTAAATTAGAAATTTTCACAAGGCAAGAAAAAAAAGTTCAGCATCTAGTTCACAAACATTATTTGAAATTATACATATATATTTGCTAGCATTGAAAACTCTGGCACTGCACTCTCATTTGGACCCTGTATTATTTAAGATATAGGATTGCCGTCTACACAGAGACAGAAAATAATAGTGAATTAAGCAAACTTAGAGTCTATTTCTCTCTCACATAAATTTGTGAAGAGGTATGGTAGTTCCATTCTGAAAATTCTTCAAAAGCAAGGCTCATTTTACCTTGTTTCTCTGCTACCTGTATGGCGTCAGCCTCATCCTTGTGGACCATTACATGTCAGTATGTCCACACTCCACCCAGCAGAAAAGGGAAAGAAGATAAAACCCCTCCTTTTAATATTCAAGCCAGAAGTAACACATATTATGCTTGCTCACACGTCATTGGCCATAATTTTGTCACATGGCCCTACCTAGAGGTAAGGGAGGTTGAGAAATATTGTCTTTGTTTATATGCCCAGCTAAATTCTGAGGTTTGGTGTTTTTTTCTTTTTTCTTTCTTTTTTTTTTTTTTTTTTTTTTTTTTTTTGAGATGGAGTCTTGCCCTGTCACCCAGGCTGGAGTGCAGTGGTGTGATCTCAGCTCACTGCAACCTCCACCTCCCAGGTTCAAACAATTCTTCAGCCTCCGCTCCCGAGTAGCTGGGATTACAGGCGTCTGCCACCATGCCTGACTAATCTTTGTATTTTTAGTGGAGACGGGGTTTCACCATGTTGGCAAGGCTGGTCTTGAACTCCTGACCTCAGGAGATCCACCCAACTTGGGCTCCCAAAGTGCTGGGATTACAGGTGTGAGCCACCATGCCTGGCCTGGTATTTTTTTCTTTACTGACAGAAAACAGGGAGAGCATATACTGGAAACAATGAATACTGCCACATACTCTTGTATAAACTATGCATAGTTATGCCAATGTTACTTGGTATAAAAATTTTCTCTTTCACAATTGCTTGTGTAAGCACCAACACATGCAGTTACATAGTGTGTTCACTGAACAATTTACATGACCATAACCGGCAATTCTGTTTATGACATTTTAATTATATCTATGATTTAATTAATGCTGACTCGTTGGTCATGAATATAACCTTTAAAATTATTGACTTTATTGAGTAACTTCCAGGAATGTAGGAGCAAAAGCAGGAACTGAGTTTTTAAAGTTTATATTGCATATACAAGAGGGAATTTTTGGAAAGTAATAAGAATGTAACAAGCAAAATAAGAACAAAAATAAAGTGAATCATAAAAAGTATGGTTTCAAGGAAATTGTTAGGTAACAGAAAGATGAACAGCCAGGCACGGTGGCTCATGCCTGTAATCTCAACATTTTGGGAGATTGAGGCGGGTGGATCATTTGAACCTAGGAGTTTGAGACCAGCATGGTCTGTCTCTTTTTTGTAGAGACTCTGTCTCTACAAAAAATTAGTCTGGTATGGTGGTGCATGTCTGTGGTCCCAGCTACTCAGGAGATTGAGGTGGGAGGATTGCTTGAGCCCAGAAGACAGAGGCTGCAGCAAGCCATGATCAGTCCACTGCACTCCAACCTGAGTGAGAGAGTGAGAAAAAAAAAAAAAAAAGATAAGATGTTCACAAGGAAAGGATATTTGCTACAATTCTACAGTGGGCTTATAAATTTATTTTTTAAATAAATTAAATGGAAGTAATAACTGCTTTAAAAGTAGTAATAAAACATATACAACTCACTTTTTCACTTATAAAAATGTTGTCATCCATTGGTTGTTCTTTCAGGCTTCTGTCAATAAAAATTGCAATATCATTGTCTTCATTCTTTAATTTGTAAAGAACATGCTGAAATTCAACTGCAGATTCCAGAGGCTCAATTCCATAAGAAACATTTTCAAATTGCAGTATTCCTCTGTGAAATTATGAATACAATTTTAAGTGCTTTTAATCAAATCTATATAATGAATTTCTGACAAAATCCAAAAGAAAAAAAAATAAAACGTTTTGAGTCCAGTATTTTTTTCTGAATTCTGTCTTAGAGATGACTCTGAAGAGACAAAAGATTTCCCAAATCCACAAAACCCATTTTCTATTTCGTTTTTGTATAGTTGTAAGAGCAGCAGAAGTCACTTAATCAATTGCTAGGTACACAAGTATATAGCATAACAGTAATTGAGTAATTCTATTGTTTTCCAAGTCAGTGTCTCAATTAAAGCAATTGTAAACAGAAATCATGATGACTTTCTCTCTGGTTTGCCATGCTTTTGAAAAATGATTATACTGCATATATGACAAATGTATATAATAAGAAACTTTACTTTTAAAAATAAAATTTGGCAGAATTATGAAATATGCCATGCTTTTGAAAAATGATTATACTGCATATATGACAAATGTATATAATAAGAAACTTTACTTTTAAAAATAAAATTTGGCAGAATTATGAAATATTTGTTACTTTTGCTTATATAGTCTGAATAAGAAATTAAAAGCAAGATTTTAAAGAGTAAATGACTTGTATCACTATTTTTCTGTGAATACAGGTGGCAGCCCAAGTCACTACTCCCTAAAATATAAATTTCAGATCCAAATTTCAGGCTTCTATGTAGGAAGCACTGAAGAAGAACATTTGTTTGTGAAAACAAACACCCTACACTACAAAATGAAGGTGGAAAATTTCCTGACAGAATGGAAAACTCCCTAAGCCGTAAGGAGGAAACCCAGTAATTCTTGAAGAGCTCAAGATAATAATATCATCAGAAAAATGAGTATTTTTATGAGTATTAAAAATTATTTGTTTTTATATAATTTGCCTCCTCAGTCTGAAGATGATTTCCTTGAGAAAAAGCATCTCTTCTTTATCTTCATATCTCCAACATTAAAACACATGGTGGGTAACATAAATACATTTTCAGTCCAGTATTTTGACTCAAACCTGTCTTAGAGATGACTCTGAGAAGATAAAAGATTACCCTAATCTACAAAACCAGCTCTCCATTTCACTTTTTTATAGTTACAAAAGCAGCAGAAATTACCTAATCAATTGCTAAGTGTGCAAGTATACAGCATTACAGTGATTAATTTCCCTGTTTTCCAAGACAGTGACTGAGCTGTCCTAAACTTAGCTCCTAAAACACTTGTAGTCAAACATGTTCAATTGTCTTTTCTGTGGTTAAGGAAACGTAAGACATAGAGCAAGGAGACTAGGAAATCTAAACCTTTGAAAAGGTTAGAAATGTCTCTGGTCACTGAGGAAAGTGAGGAGAAATAAGAGAATTGGAAACATGTTCAGAGGGGGATATCATTAAATAATCTCCACATAGGAAAGCTCCTTCAACCCCACACTTAATACAAAGAGAACAAATTCACTGCAGCCAAATATCATAACTAAGGTGTTCTGTAATCAACAACAGAAAACAACCTTAGTCCAGAGCACGTGCTGAGTGTGACCATGGAATCTGGATATCCTTCAATATTTCCTTGATAGTAGCATTGAGTCTAGGAAAGAAAAAAAGTAAAGTAGTCACTTAGGAAGTAACAAAACTTTCTAGTGATTTCCTACTTCTATACTTGATAGAACCTTCTGAATATTTTTCACAGGCTCCGTGATTTATATCAGTACAAGTAAGGTGAAATTCAGAAAAAAATTCTCCCCATAATTGCCACTTACACTATGTTAACTACACTTTATAATAGATTATGACTTGAGATTACTATTTTACACCCTGCTTCCAAAATGTTGTCTCATGTTTTAGGTAAAAATATCTTCCAGTACATAAATTTAGATCCTCAATTAAAAGACAAAGATGATGAATCTGGATTTCTTTAAAAACTCAATTAATATGATGCTAAAAAAGAGTCATAAAAATGCAATGACACAGGAAGATTGAAGGGCTAGATGCCAACACAAACCAAAAGGATGATGCTGAATTTGCACTAAGAGAGGAAATGTGGACTTTAAGGCCAGAAACATTACTAGAGATAAACAGGGACATTTGGTAATGATAAGCATTTCAATTTGCCAGGAAGACATAAATATTCCAAATTGGCATTCACTTAATAACACAGCTTCAAAATATATAAAGTCACAATTGAAAGAATAGTAAAAATTAAAAAATCTACAGTTATAAAAAAGTTTTTTAAAGTTAATTTCTCTTAGTGACTGATAGATCAAGTGTTCAGAATCTACAGAAGGTTTGGACAACGTGGTTAGTATGACCTAGTTAACATATGCAAAATACTATACCTAAAAACTTTAGAATATATGCTTTCTAAACACTCATGGAACATCTACAAAATAGAAACCATACTCCAGGCCATAAAGCAGGACTCAATAGATTACAAAGGAATTAAATTGTATAGAGTTGGTCTCTGAGCACAGTACAATCAAGCTAGAGACACACAGAGTCACAAACATTGTCACAGATGTGAAAATTATATAATTTCCAATATTCAATGGTGCTATAAATTTTATTATAAATAAGGTTAAGATTTCTTATTAACACACTGCTTTATGATGGAACTAAGGGAAGGAAAAGGGAGCAATAAAGCAAAATGATGATCCCATCCAATGTAAGTGAAGCAACATATCTAATTTAATATTTCAGCAAATTTTTATTATATTCCAAGTATGTGCTAGGCACTTTTCTAGGCACTGGTGTTACATCAGTAAATAAAACAGACCAAAAGCCCTGCCCTCGGGATGATTATATTGCACTGGGGAGACAGAAAATAAAGTAAATAAATAGAATATATATGATACATCATGTATTGATAACTGCCATGGGAAAAAGGCAAAAAAAAAAAAGGTAAAGGAAATAGAGTATTAAGAGTAAGAGACCAATTTAAAGTAGGGGTTAGTCAACGACTAATAGGGTGATTTTGAGTAAAGACCTGAAGGAAATGAGGATGAAAAACATATGGGTCTGTTGGGAAAGAACAAGCATTTGGATACCAGGAAATAGAAAGTATGAAGTCTTTGAAAGGAGAACATAGCTATTATATTTGAAGAACAACAATGCTGGAACAAAGTGAATGAGGTAGAGAATAATAGGAAATGAGGTCAGAGAGGTAAAAGGGAACCAGGTGACTCTGGCTTTCACTCTGTAAGTGGTGGGAAGCCATTCATGCAGGGTTCTGAGCAGAGAAGCAGGGTAATCTGACTATGTCTTAACAGGATCAATATGGTCACCATGTTGAGAACTGACTGAGGCTGGGTGCGGTGGCTCACACCTGTAATCCTAGCACTGTGGGAGGCCAAGGCAGGTGGATCACCTGAGGTCAGGGGTTCGAGACAAGCCTGGCCAACATGGTGAAACCCTATCTCTTGATAGGGTTTAGATAGAAAATTAGCTGGGCATGGTGGTGCATGCCTGTAATCCCAAATACTCGGGAGGCTGAGGCAGGAGAATCACTTGAACCCAGGAGGTGGAGGTTTCAGTGAGCCAAGATCGCACCATTGCACTCTAGCCTGGGCAAAATAAATAAATAAAAACAAAAATAAATGAATAAAATAAAGGGATAAATAAATAAAATGAAGGGATGGACAGGTGAGGAAGCAGGGAGATTATTCAGGAAGTTATGGCAATGATCCAAACTAGAGATGATGTTTACTTGGAAATGGGTGGTCTCAGTGGGTGAAGGCAGAGGAAGAAGGTGGATGCTGGACACTTAGTTTGAAGGGCAGGGTCAGTAGGATTTATGGATGTATAAATAATGGATGAGATGAGGAAGAGTTAAGAAAAAAACAAAGAGTTTTTGATCTGTGATTTGTGTCTCATAACATTCATGTCCACTTTTCTTGTTATTTAATTTATATTCTTACAAACAAAATATAAATAATAAATATTTTATTTAACAAAATATCAATTAAATTAAAAAATAGTGACTATGTTCTCAGCAATGGGAAAGGTGCTAAGTCAATCTAATTTGTCTTTACCAAAACTTCAGGAAACCCTGATCATTAATCAACAAATGTCTTAAATATATCCCCTGTGAATCTTGAGAGCCTTCTGTATAATAAAGCATTTATTTAATGTAAAAAAATTTAAAAAAAACTATAAAACACAGAATTTAAATCTTACCTGAATATCTGAAGAATAAGTATTCATAGATCCTTGATTGTACAAATAGATCATAAAATTATCTGCTAAAAAATATCTGAATATAAAAAAAGAGGAAATTTTTTTAATTATTCTTTTTGAAACATATAAAAACATAGTAAACTTAACACTCTCAGCCAAAATCTGACCCACCCTCTGTTTTGTAAATAAAGGTTTATTGAAACACAGCCATACCCATTCACCCACATATTGTCATGGCTCTTTTCATGCTGTAAGATGAGAGATTAACTAGTTTTGACAAAGAACATATGGCCTTCAAAGTCTAAAACATTTACTATCTGAATCTTTAGAGAAAACGTCTGTCAACCTGATATAAAGGTAGTATTTTCTTTTGACATATATTTAATGTTTACTTAAAGCAATATACGTTTACTCAAAATAGTTTTCCTACCTTAATGGACTCCTTTTAAGAAAAAAAGAAGAGACTAAAAGAAGAGCATTCTAAAATGTAAAAGAGGCTGGACGTGGTGGCTCACACCTGTAATCCCAACACTTTGGGAGGCCAAGGTGGGCAGATCACCTGAGGTCAGGAGTTTGAGACCAGCCTGGCCAACATGGTGAAACCCCGTCTCTACTAAAAATACAAAAATTAGTCGGGTGTGGTGGCAGGTGCCTATAATCCTAGCTACTCAGGAGGCTGAGGTGGGAGAATTGCTTGAACCCAAGAGGCAGAGGTTGCAGTGAGCTGAGATCACACCACTGCAATCCAGCCTGGGTGACAGAGCAAGATTCCGTCTCAAAAAAAAAAAAAAAAATTTAATAGACATAAACTGGATGTTGGATTGTAAGAGTTTTCTGTTCTTACATTCTTTCTAAAGCTTTATTACTATGCACATATATTACTTTGATAATGAAGTGGAAGAGTATTGCATAAAGGTCATATTCATCTGAGCATATGTACTGAAACGTCCAGTCTAAGTTCAACTTTGGTATTAATCCCTGTACTCATGATGCTATTTTAGTTATGCTTCCTCACTTCATGTTCACTCTTCAACCCACCGTCACTTAATTAGGCCACTCACACTAGCTTCTGTTGGAAAGCCTCCACTCAAACTGATCTCACAAAAATTACTAATGACCTCCTGAGTGTCCAATCCAAAAGACAGTATTATGTCAAGTAAAAATACTCTGAAGCAGCCAGGCGGGGTGGCTCACTCCTGTAATCCCAAAACTTAGGGAGGCCGAGGTGGAGGGATTGCTTTGGGCTCAGGAGTTCGAGACCAGCCTGGGTAACAAGGCGAAACCTCATCTCTACCAAAAATACCAAAATTAGCCAGGTGTGGTGGTCTGCTCATGTGGTCCCAGCTACTTGGGAGGCTGAGGCAACAGGATCACTTGAGCCAGGAGTTCAAGGCTGCAGTGAGCTGAGATGCCACCACTGCTTTCCAACCTGGGTGACAGAGAGAGACCCTGTCTCAAAAATAAATAAATAATAAAAATAATTTTAAAATACATTAAACAAAAAAATAAATAAATAAAATACTCTCAAGTACTTCATACTGTGGACCACATTCCCCTTCTTGAAACCATCTCTTCTTCAGTGATAATGATAGATACCACTTCCTCCTGGTTCTCCTGTCTTTCTACGTTTCTAAGTCCCTTTATTTGGATCCTTCCTTCATCCCTTAAATGTTTCCATGGCATTCAATTCTAGGCTGTTTCTCTTTCTTACTTTTAACATTCACCCCCACCTGTATAGATTTATCTTGTTCATTTCTGTGGTTTAATTTACTACTTATATAAAAAGGTTGCTTTTAGTATTATAGCTTTGCAATATATTTGAATTCAGGTAGTGTGATGCCTCCAGCTTTGTTCTTTTTGTTCAGTAGTGCCTTGGCTATTCAGGGCCTTTTGGGGTTCCATAGGAATTTACTATTTCTGTGAAAAATGTCATTGGAATTTTGGTAGGGATTGCGTTGAATTTGTGTATCAATTTGGACAGTATGGACATTTTAACAATATTAACTCTTCCAATCCATGTTCTTTCCATATATTTGTGTCTTCCTCAATTCCTTTCATCATGTTTTCTAGCTCTCAGTATACAGATCTTTCACCTCCTTGGTTAACTTACTCCTAAGTATTTTATTTTTTGTAGCTATTGTACATGGGGTTGTTTTCTTGATTTCATTTTTGGAAAATTTCTTATTAATGTATAGAAATGCTATGATTTTTGTATGTTGATTTTATATCCCACAACTTCACTGAACTTGTCTATTGGTTCTAACAAATTTTGGTGGAGTCTTTAGGGTCTTCTATAAGTAATCTACATATAAGATCATGTCACCTGCAACAGGAACAATTTAACATTTCTCTTTCCCATTAGGATGCCTTTTATTCATTGTTCTTGCCTAATTGCTGTGGCTAGGACTTCCAATACTATGTTGAATAGAAGAGGTGAAGGAAAATAGGCATCCTAATCTTGTTCCTGATATTAGATGAAAAACTTTCAACTTTTTACCACTGAGTATGATGTTAGCTATGGCTTTGTCATATATGACATTTTTGTGTTAAGGTATATCTCTTCTAGGCCTAATTTGCAGAGAGTTTACATCATGAAAGAATGTGGATACTCACACTTCTCTCCCCCATTCTAAACTAAATTAACTGCCATCAGGATATTTCCCCCTGTGGGATATCCCACAAGCACTTCATACCCAGCATCTCCAACAGGGAGCCATAATACCTGACTCAGGTCTGTTCTCATCCTCCCTCTACCCTACCAAATCCCTGCCACCACTATAGTCAATCTGTTACTACATCTTTTTTCTGCCACATCAGCATTTCTCAAAAACAGGAAAAGGGAGGCTTGCTTCCAAGATGGCTGAATAGGAACAGCTCTGGTCTGCAGCTCCTAGCAAGATCAACACAAAAGAGCAGTGATTTCTGCATTTCCAACTGAGGTACCTGGTTCATCTCACTGGGACTGGATCAACAGTGGGTACAGCCCACGGAGGGAAAGCTGAACCAGGACAGGGTGTTGTCTCACCCGGGAAGCTCAAGGGGTCAGGGGATTTACCTTTCCTAGCCAAGGGAAGCTGTGACAGACTGTACCTGGAGAAACAGTACACTCCTGACCAAATACTGCACTTTTCCCACAGTCTTAGCAATCAGCAGACCAGGAGATACCCTCCTGTGTCTGCCTCAGCAGGTCCCATGCCCATGGAGCCTTTCTCACTGCTAGTGCAGCAGTCTGAGATTGCCCTGCAACACTGCAGCTTAATTGGGGGAAGGGTCATCTGCCATTACTGAGGCTTGAATAGCCTACAGTGTAAACAAAGTGGCCAGGAAGCACGAACTGGGCAGACCCCACCACAGCTCAGCGAGGCCTACTACCTTTATAGATTCCACCTCTGGGGGCAGGGCATAGTAGAACAAAAGGCACCAGACAGCTTCTGCAGACTTAAACATCCAGTCTGACAGCTCTGAAGAGAGCAGCAGTTCTCTCAGCACAGCATTTGAGCTCCAAGAATAGACAGACTGCCTCCTCAAGTGGGTCCCTGACCCCCATGTAGCCTGACTGGGAAACACCTCCCAGTAGGGGTCGACAGACACCTCAAACAAGCAGGTGCCCCTCTGGGATGAAGTTTCCAGAGGAAGGATCAGGCATCAATATTGGCTGTTCTGCAGCCTCCACTGGTGATACCCAGGCAAACAGGGTCTAGAGTGGACCTACAGCAAACTCCAACAGACCTGCAGCTGAGGGGTCTGACTATTAAAAGGAACTAACAAACAGAAAGGAATAGCATCAACATAAACAAAAAGGACATCCACACCAAAACCCCATCTGTGGGTCACCAACATCAAAGACTAAAGGTAGGTAAAACCACAAAGATGGGGAGAAACCAGAGCAGAAAAGCTGAAAATTCCAAAAAAACAGAGTGCCTCTTCTCCTCCAAAGAATAACAGCTCCTCGCCAGCCAGGGAACAAAATTGGACGGAGAATGAGTTTGACGAGTTGACAGAAGTAGGCTTCAGAAGGTCGGTAATAACAAATTTCTCCAAGCTAAAGGAGCATGTTGTAACCCATCACAAGGAAGCCAAAAACCTTGAAAAAAGGTTAGACAAATGGCTAACTAGAATAAACAGTGTAGAGAAGAACTTAAATGACCTGATGGAGCTGAAAACCATGGCACGAGAGCTTCATGATGCATGCACAAGCTTCAATAGCCGATTCGATCAAGTGGAAGAAACAATATCAGTGATTAAAGATCAAATTAATGAAATAAAGTGAGAAGACAAGATTAGAGAAAAAAAGAGTGAAAAGAAACTAACAAAGCCTCCAAGAAATATAGGGACTATGTGAAAATACCAAATATATGTTTGATTGGTGTACCGGAAAGTGACAGGGAGAATGGAACCAAGATAGAATACACTCTTCAGGATATTATCCAGGAGAACTTCCCTAACCTAGCAAGGCAGGCCAACATTCAAATTCAGAAAATACAAAGAACACCACAAAGATATTCCTCGGGAAGAGCAACCCCAAGACACATAATTGTCAGATTCACCAAGGTTGGAATGAAGGAAAAAATGTTAAGGGCAGCCAGAGAGAAAGGTTGGCTTACCAACAAAGGGAAGACCATCAGACTAACAGCAGATCTCTCGGCAGAAACCCTACAAGCCAGAAGAGAGTGGGGGCCAATATTCAACATTCGTAAAGAAAAGAATTTTCAACCCAGAATCTCATATCCAGCCAAATTAAGCTTCATAAGTGAAGGAGAAATAAAATACTTTACAGACAAGCAAATGCTGAGAGATTTTGTCACCAACAGGCCTGCCCTAAAAGAGCTCCTGAAGGAAGCACTAAACATGGAAAGGAACAGCCGGTACCAACCACTGCAAAAACATGCCAAATGGTAAACACCATCAATGCCATGAAGAAACTGCATCAATTAATGGGAAAAATAACCAGCTAACATCATAATGACAGGATCAAATTCACACATAACAATATTAACCATAAATATAAATGGACTAAATGCCCCAATTAAAAGACACAGACTGGCAAATTGGATTTAAAGAGTCAAGACCCATCGGTGTGCTGTATTCAGGAAATCCATCTCACGTGCCACTTAAAAATGCACATAGGCTCAAAATAAAGGGATGGAGGAAGATCTACCAAGCAAATGGAAAACAAAAAAAGAAAAAGAAGGGGTTGCAATCCTAGTCTCTGATAAAACAGACTTTAAACCAACAAACATCAAAAGAGACAAAGAAGGCCACTACATAATGGTAAAGGGATCTATTCAACAAGAAGAGCTAACTATCCTAAATATATATGCACCCAATACAGGAGCACCCAGATTCATAAAGCAAGTCCTTAGAGACCTACAAAGAGACTTAGACTCCCACACAATAATAATGGGAGACTTTAACACCCCACTGTCAATATTAGACAGATCAACAAGACAGAAGGTTAACAAGGATATCCAGGACTTGAACTCAGCTCCGGACCAAGTGGACCTAATAGACATATACAGAACTCTCCACCCCAAATCAACAGTATATACATTCTTCTCAGCACCACATCACACTTATTCTAAAATTGAACACATCATTGGTAGTAAAACACTCCTCAGCAAATGTAAAAGAACAGAAATCACAACAAACTGTCTCTCAGACCACAGTGCAATCAAATTAGAACTCAGGATTAAGAAACTCACTCAAAACCACACAACTACATGAAAACTGAACAATCTGCTCCTGAATGACTACTGGGTTCATAATGAAATGAAGGGAGAAATAAAGATGTTCTTTGAAACCAATGAGAACAAAGACACAATGTACCAGAATCTCTGGAACACATTTAAAGCAATGTGTAGAGGGAAATTTATAGCACTAAATGCCCACAAAAGAAAGCAGGAAAGACCTAAAATTGACACCCTAACATCACAATTGAAAGAACTAGAGAAGCAAGAACAAACAAACTCAAAAGCTAGCAGAAGGCAAGAAATAACTAAGATCAGAGCAGAACTGATGGATATGGAGACACAAAATCCCTTCAAAAAATTAATGAATCCAGGAGCTGGTTTTTTGAAAAGATCAACAAAATTGATAGACCACTAGCAAGACTAATAAAGAAGAAAAGAGAGAAGAATCAAATAGATGCAATAAAAAATGATAAAGGGGATATCACCACCAATCCCACAGAAATACAAACATCAGAGAATACTATAAACACCTCTATGCAAATAAACTAGAAAATCTAGAAGAAATGGATAAATTCTATGCAAATAAACTAGAAAATCTAGAAGAAATGGATAAATTCCTGGACACGTGCACCCGCCCAAGACTAAACCAGGAAGAAGTTGAATCTCTGAATAGACCAATAACAGGTTCTGAAATTGAGACAATAATTAATAGCCTACCCACAAAAAAAGTCCAGGACCAGACAGATTCACAGCCAAATTCTACCAGAGGTACAAAGAGTAGCTGGTACCATTCCTTCTGAAATTATTTCAATCAATAGAAAAAGAGGGAATCCTCCCTGACTCATTTTATGAGGCCAGCATCATCCTGATACCAAAGCCTGGTAGAGACACACACAAAAAAGAGAATTTTAGGCCAATATCCCTGATGAACATCGATGCGAAAATCCTCAATAAAATACTGGCAAACTGAATCCAGCAGCACATCAAAAAGCTTATTCACCACGATCAACTCAGCTTCATCCCTGGGATGCAAGGCTGGTTCGACATATGCAAATCAATAAATGTAATCCATCACATAAACAGAACCAATGATAAAAACCACGATGATCTCAATAGATGCAGAAAAGGCCTTTGACAAAATTCAACAGCCCTTCATGCTAAAAACTCTCAATAAACCAGGTATTGATGGAATGTATCTCAAAATAATAACAGCTATTTATGACAAACCCACAGCCAAAACGGGAAGCATTCCCTTTGAAAACCCACACAAGACAAGGATGCCCTCTCTCACCACTCCTATTCAACATACTGTTGGAAGTTCTGGCCAGGGAAATCAGGCAAGAGAAAGAAATAAAGGATATTCAATTAGGAAATGAGGAAGTCAAATTGTCCCTGTTTGCAGATGACGTGATTATATATTTAGAAAACCCCATCATCTCAGCCCAAAATCTCCTTAAGCTGATAAGTAACTTCAGCAAAGTCTCAGGATACAAAATCAATGTGCAAAAATCACAAGCATTCCTATATACCAATGATAGACAAACAGAGAGCCAAATCATGAGTGAACTCCCATTCACAACTACTACGAAGAGAATAAAATACCTAGGAATCCAACTTACAAGGGATGTGAAGGACCTCTTCAAGGAGAACTACAAATCACTGCTCAATGAAATAAAAGAGGATACAAACAAATGGAAGAACATTCCATGCTCATAGATAGGAAGAATCAATATCATGAAAATGGCCATACTGCCCAAGGTAATTTATAGATTCAATGCCATCCCCATCAAGCTACAATGACTTTCTTCACAGAATTGGAAAAAAATACTTTAAAGTTCATATGGAACCAAAAAAGAGCCCGCATTGCCAAGATAATCCTAAGCAAAAAGAACAAAGCTGGAGGCATCATACTACCTGACTTCAAACTATACTACAAGGCTACAGTAACCAAAATAGCATGGTACTGGTACCAAAACAGAGATATAGACCAATGGAACAGAACGGAGGCCTCAGAAATAACACCACACATCTACAACCATCTGATCTTTGACAAACCTGACAAAAACAAGAAATGGGGAAAGGATTCCCTATTTAATAAATGGTGCTGGGAAAGCTGGCTAGCCATATATAGAAAGTTGAAACTCGATCCCTTCCTTACACCATACAAAAAATTAACTCAGGATGGATTAAAGACTTAAATGTAAGACCTAACACCATAAAAACCCTAGAAGAAAACCTAGGCAATACCATTCAGGAGATAGGCATAGGCAAAGACTTCACAACTACAACACCAAAAGCAATGGCAACAAAAGCCAAAATAGACAGATGGAATCTAACTAAACTAAAGAGCTTCTGCACACCAAAAGAAACTATCATCAGAGTGAACAGGCAACCTACAGAATGGGAGAAAATCTTTGCAATCTACCCATCTGACAAAGGGCTAATATCCAGAATCTACAAATAACTTAAACAAATTTAAAAGAAAAAAAGCAAACAACCCCATGAAAAAGTGGCCAAAGGATATGAACAGACAATTCTCAAAAGAAGACATTTATGCAGCCAACAGACATATGAAAAAATGCTCATCATCACTGGTCATCAGAGAAATGCAAATCAAAACCACAATGAGATACCATCTCACGCCACTTAGAACAGCAATCTTTAAGCGGTCAGGAAACAACAGATGCTGGAGAGGATATGGAGAAATAGCAACCCTTTTACACTGTTGGTGGGTGTGTAAATTAGTTCAACCATTGTGGAAGACAGTGTGGTGATTCCTCAAGGATCTAGAACTAGAAATACCATTTGACCCAGCGATCCCATTACTTGGTATATACCCAAAGGATTATAAATCATGCTACTATAAAGACACATGCACACATATGTTTATTGTGGCACTATTCACAATAGTAAAGACTTGGAACCAACCCAAAAGTCCATCAATGCTAGAATGGATAAAGAAAATATGGCATATATACACCATGGAATACTATGCAGCCATAAAAAAGGATGAGTTTATGTCCTTTGCAGGGACATGGATGAAGCTGGAAACCATCATTCTAAGCAAACTGTCACAAGGACAGAAAACCAAACACCGCATGTTCACACTCATAGGTCGGAGTTGAACAATGAGAACACATGGACACAGGGCAGGGGATGTCACACACCAGGGCCTGTTGGGGGGTGGGGGACTGGGGGAGGGATAGCTTTAGGAGAAATACCTAATGTAAATGACAAGTTGATGGGTGCAGCAAACCAACATGGCACATGTATACCTATGTAACAAACCTGCACGCTGTGCACATGTACTCTAGAACTTAAAGTATAATAAAAAAAGAACTAAAAAAACATACACACAAAAAAAGGAAACTCCCTATCTCTATGTAGTCATAGTTCTGCTTCTCATTATTTTTCATATAAACTATTTGCAGTAGCTTCCTAATGGTCGTTAGGCTATCATAATCATTAAGCAGTTAATTTCTCAAAACGATATACACATGCCCTATCCCTCTCCCAAGCTCTGGTCTCTCAATTTCTCAACACTGCTTATAGTCTTAGTAAGATGTTCAAATGCAATGTGAGCTCTCTAACTTTCCTTCATACTCTTCACAAAGATCTTTGCGTTATCATCCACCATATTCTTTTTCTCTTCTGCCTAAAAGAGTAAGTTAACCTTTTCTTTGGGAAAATTATTTAGTATCTTACACACAATAAACCACTTGTTTACACCTTTTTTTTTTTTTTTGAGACAGTGTCTCACTCTGTCACCCAGGCTGGCGTGCAGTGGCACCATCTCGGCTCACTGCAACTTCTGCCTCCCAGGTTCAAGCGATTCTCCTGCCTCAGCCTCCCGAGTAGCTGGGATTACAGGCGCACGCCACCATGCCTGGCTAATTTTTGTATTTTTTAGTAGAGACAGGGTTTCACCATGTTGGGCAGGCTGGTCTCAAACTCCTGACCTCAGGAGTTTGATCCACCTGCCTCAGCATACCTAAGTGCTGGGATTACAGACGAAAGCCACCGCGCCCAGCTTGTTTACATCTTTCATCTCTCTTTTCTTCTCCTTAAGAAATTTTCCATCAATCAAAATACTTTGTTTTCTCTTTCTTCAAAAATATTCATGTAAGCCTCTTTTTTCTCTGAGGGATGTTTTTGAAAAAGTCTATAATTGCTACCTCTAGTTTCTCATAATCCACCTCTCTCCAATGCCATGTAGTCTAGTTTTACTAGTTTAGCTGAAGCTGTCCTCTTGAATGTCACAAATTACTTCCAAGCCAGCCTTTCCCAACTGGGCTTGCATCAGAGAATTAAACCCTATAGAAAATTATTTCAATTATTTAATAATTCTCTGAAGAGTGGCATATAGCTAGGACTATTTTCCATAAACTATTCGCCAGCTCTGCAACACTATAAGGTCTGTATTAAATCCCTGTCCCATATTACTCATGGTCATCCCACTTCTCTGATAAAACCCTAACTGATATAAACCAGCTACAGATTTACTTATTTTTGTGACATCTGCCCTGATGATATAGGTCCTGCTGGTCCTGCCAACTTAATATCATAAATCAGTCTTCAGGAGATAAGTCCCTGTTTTTTGTCCTAACTCCCATTTACCAAAGAATACTTGAGACATTAAAACCAAAATTTAATTAAGTCACAGGACAGCATCTCTTCACTTAAGACAATTAAAAAAGTTAATAATTCCATGTATTTTTCTCATACTCCATTTTCTATTGCAAGTAAACAGCTTCATAGAAATAAAATAAAATCCAAAACTAAAGAATAAAAATTTACCTTTGTTTAAGGTGCACAGTGTACAGTTTCTCATCTATTGGAATAATATAGGATATTTGTTCCTAGAGAATTCAAAACAACTGAGAGTGAAGACAAATTTAATACAAGAAGCAAAACAACAGTTTTATATCAATTAATCTGTCCAAACAATGCTTAAAACATCTTCATTACATTTCTCAGACTACATGTGATTTAAAATGTGCAACAACACATCAAAAAATTTAATATTTACTTATTTTATAATGGTTTTTACTATTTCCACACAAATAAACCCAGTCTAAGGATTTACATAGGATTAAAAATCTACCTGTAACTAACCTGTAACCTCTTATGAATGAATAGGTCACGTGCTACACTAAAATACCTATTTAGGTGGCATCATTGGGATAAGAGGATATTCTACATCAGTGAAGCTTACTCTGTCCACCATAAAAATTATTTAACCATTTTCTTAAAAACCCTCCTAAGATGTATTGTCTGTTCCCTATATTTTAAACAGAAGATTATTGAACAAAATTTAATATTGTCTTTGACTTTATCTCTACTATTTTCAAGTTAGAATATGGATGACAATAGGTTGGAATATCTGTAGGTCAGTGAACCTCAGTGATGAGATTTTATAGAGCAAAAGGGAACACGTGAAAAGCAAGAGGTAGAGAAACAGAGAAAAAATTAGTTAAAACATATAGAAATGAAAAGGACACAAATATCAAAACACAGAAAAAGGATAAGCATTCCAGGATCTCTGAAAATAAGAAGCAACCAGGGTACCATACAGATCAAAGAAGAATGAGGCAGTTTGTTTCCAGGTCAGAAATGAAACCAGATCGTCAACATTATTGGTGATAACTCAACTTGATATCATGTACCCCATGATATGATGTCATGAGGAGAGCACCTCATCTCTATGTTAATCTTCCCTAAAATTCACTGAACATGAGAAAATATCAGACAAATCCAAATTGAGGGGTGTTCTACAAAGTACCTGACCTCCTCAGAACTGTCAAGGTCATGAAATTCAAGGAAAGACTGAGAAACAGAGCAAAGGAGCCTGGGAGGGGGCATGCTGGGTAGTATTCTGGATTGGATCCCGGAACAAAATGGACAGTAGAAGACAAACTAGTTGAAATCCAGAAATCCAAAGAAAGTAGTTTCCTTACTAGTAATGTATCAATACTAATTTCTTGTATTTAATAAATATAATGTATTCATGTGGCTATATAAGAGCTAACATTACAGGAAACTGAGTGAACAGTATATATGGGAACTCTGTAGTCTTTTAGCAATTTTTCTGTATATCTAAAATTATTCCAAATTTTCAGAAGTTTATTTTTAAAAAAGAAAAACCAGACATAAATCGAGAAAACAAAAGAAGCATAACAGGCATATGGCAAATATAAGGCAGAAGGACCAAAGAGAAAACCCTAACCCTGAAACAGCAGGGCATCCTACTTTTTAAATTTGCATTGGTGACACTAGCTCCTTAGTGAGCCTGATCTGAATGTGATAACTGAACACAGATGCTTGAGCATCTTTATCGTTTTTTGTTTTTGTTTTTTTCTTGCGACAGAGTTTCGCTCTTGTTGCTCAGGCTGGAGTGCAGTGGCGCCATCTCAGCTCACCGCAACTTCTGCCTCCCGGGTTCAAGTGATTCTCCTGCCTCAGCCTCCCGAGGAGCTGGAATTACAGACATGCGCCACCACGCCTGGCTAATCTTGTATTTTTAGAAGAGACGGTGTTCCTCCATGCTGGTCAGGCTGGTCTCGAACTCCCAACCTCAGGTGACTCGCCCACCTCGGCCTCCCAAAGTGCTAGGATTACAGGCTTGAGCCACCACACCAGGCCCCATCTTTATCTTTTTTTAAGGTGGATTTGATGTGCAAGCAGTTCTTGGATGAATATTTTTCTCAAACCCAAAACTTAGTAATTATTATTAGTGTCCCAGATAATACTTTGTTTAGCTGTACTTTCACTATGGGAGTTATCATGAAATACCTTTTATTTGCAGACTATATACAGAAGTTTAGGTAGATCTTTAAAGAGTGTAGAGGAGTTGATTATCGGAGGCCATGAGATAATTTACTAAACAATAATGGTAAATTTGTGTTTGCCTCCTCAACAAAGAGGTACCAAAACAGTGAGCAGATAAGCACATGTCAAACAGAGAATCTAGGAGAGAGAACTAGAATTCAGCAGGGAAGTGACAGGGAACCTCTGAGGCCTAGAAGGAAAGACAAGCAAATAAGCAGCTGGCCTGGCCAGGATTGGCTGAGAGCCAGGAGGAAGTCCCCATTGTAGGGAAGAAGCAAGCAAGAGATCTTCCACAGTCCAGGGTCCCACCACGAATGCTCTGCAATACAAGCCACAGGAGAGCCCCTGAGCCTTCACGGGCCCTGCCTACCTGCACTCCTGGTGACTGAATTCTTTCAGACTGGGAATTCACACTGAGTCCCACTCACCCTTCGATACCCAAGCAGAGGCAGCACAGTACCATGTTGAAAGCCCAGCCCCAACAGATTACATCCTGACCTGGGACCCAACAGCCCCATTTCCTCAGCCCTGGAGCCCTGCTGACATCCCCCCATGTCCACCCAGAGGGCTGCAGCAGCGCAACGCCAGCTGGAACAAGTGGGGCAGCTGGGTCCCCA
The DNA here is from genome assembly GCF_000001405.40 of Homo sapiens. Classification (NCBI taxonomy): domain Eukaryota; kingdom Metazoa; phylum Chordata; class Mammalia; order Primates; family Hominidae; genus Homo; species Homo sapiens. Next base: position 39,134,070 of record NC_000008.11, on the reverse strand, counting down.
GCACTCTAGCCCACACAATGTCCTACACCCCAGAGAAGGGGCGATGTAGCACATTGGGAAGGCTGCCACCTGGACAAAGGGAGATGAAGCATGCACTCCCCAGAACCTGAGAGCTACCTGCCTGGGGCTGCCAGCACTGACAGCAACCTCACGCGCTCCCAGCAGCAGGGACACAGCACAGTTGCATGGGCCTTCAGTAAGTCTGAGGACCGGCCCACCCAAACGCAGTCCTTGAGCCTGAGGGCAAGCTCAGGCTACCCAACACCACTGTGCCTACATGCACTATCCGGGGATCTGATATCTGGCCAGCCCCACCTGCTATCAGCACCAGTGCCCATGCATGCCTCCCAGGAGCCTGGAAAATGGCCCGCCTAGTCTGCCACAACCCTGACCAGTGCCCACCCACATGCACCAGCCAGGAGCCTGGGAACTGGCTGACCCAGCCTACTGCCACCCGTAATGGTGTTCACATGCACCACCAGACAGCCTGAGGACTGGCCCACTACTGCTACTGCCACTGCTGGTGTCACACACTGCCCAGGGCCCAAGGCCCCATCCACCTGACCTGCCACTGCCACCACTGTAGACTGGCTTGCCTGGTTTCCCCATCCCCAGTAAAGCCTCGCCACAGTCCCCAGTCACAAACATAGCCTAATCCACTGGGAAACTCACAGACATCACTGATGTTGATTATAGTTGAAGAAATCATATAGATATTACATCTCTGCACATGACAACAATATCTGCTTCTGATGTGGGTCTCAAGAAGCTTCCATCCATGGTGGAAGGTAAAGGGGAGCAGATCACATGGTGAGAGAGGAAGAAAGAGAGAGGGAGAGGTGCCAGGTCTCAACTAACAGATCAAGAATTCACTAATTACCATAAGGATGGCACCAAGCCATTCATGAGGGACATCATGACCCAAACACCTCCCATGAGGCCCCACTTCCAACACTGAGGTCAAATTGCAACATGAGGTTTGGGAGAACAAACATCCCAACAATAGCATGGTCCGAAAAAAAGTATTTGAACAAATAATGGCCAAAACCATTCAAAATTTGAAGGAAAACAGTAGTCTACACATCTAAAATTCCAGCCAACCTCAAGAAGAAAAAAATACAAGAAGATACACACCAAGATACATCATATTTAATATGTTGAAAGTCAAACATAAGGAGAAAATCTTGAAAATATCAAGAAAAAAACTCATCACATACAAGGAAGCTGCATTAATACAATTAGTGGCAGATTGTTCATTTGAAATAATGTAGGCCAGAAGGCAGTGAAGACATAAAAAGTGCTGAAAGAAAAAAAAAAATCTGTCAACTAACAATTTTATATCCAGCAAAATCTGCTTTTAAAATGGTGAAATAAAGTCCTGTCTTACAAGAAATACTGAAGAAATTTATTTAGGCTAATAGGAAATAACACCAGATGGTAACTCAAAAAGCAGAAATGGTAAATGTGTGAGTTAACATAAAAAGACTTTAATAGTTTTTCTAATTTCTCTTTTCAATGTCTTTAAAAGATATAGCATTGTGAAAAAGCAATAATTATGATGATATATAGTTGGGTTTAAAAAATATGGATGTAATAATGTGACAAGAACAGTACAGAGAAGAAAGAATTCCATTATATTGGAGCAAAGTTGCTATATTTTACCAGAAATAAGTATTAATCTAAAGTAAATCATGATAGTTAAGATATATTATAATACCTGGATCACCACAAAGAAAATAAGTAGTAAAAATAGCAAAATATTGAGTATAAATTCAACCATATAAATACCTATATTTGATGCAAATGATCTAGAAATCCAAACCAAAAAGCAGAAATAGATTGGTACAATCTATCTATCTCAAAAATAACCTCCGATTGGGCCAGGCGCAGTGGCGCATGCCTGTAATCCCAGCACTTTGGGAGGCCAAGGTGGGCGGATCACCTGAGGTCGGGAGTTCGAGATCAGCCTGACCAACATGCAGAAACCCTGTCTCTACTAAAAATACAAAATTAGCCAGGCGTGGTGGTGCATGCCTGTAATCCCAACTACTCAGGATGCTGAGGCAGGAAAATCGTTTGAACCCGGGAGACGGAGATTGAGGTGAGCCGAGATCGTGCCACTACACTCCAGCCTGAGCGACAAGAGCGAAACTCCATCTCAAAAAATAAAAAACAAAAACCCTCCAATTACATGATGTCTACAAGGGAAACACCTTAGATTCAATACACAAATAGGTTGAAAATAAAATAATGGAAATATATATATTGTAAATAGTAACCATAAAGAGAAGTTATACTAATATCAGACAATATAGGCTTAAAGACAAGAAATATTATCAGAAAGAAAGAAGGACGTTTCACAACAGTAAAATCATCACTGCATCCCAAAGACATAAAAATTGTAAGTGCACACACATTAAATACCAAGCCTCAAAATACATGAAAGAACAACTGACAGAACTGAAAGGAGAAATAGACAATTCAATAATCCTATTTGGAAACTTAAGTACTCCACTCACAATAATGGAGAGAACAACTAGACAAAAAATCAACAAGCACAAAAAAATCTTTGAATGAAACTACTGACAGTCTCATTCTGTCACCCAGACTGGAGTGCTGTGGCACAATCTCAGCTCACTGCAGGCTCTACCTTCTGGACTCAAGTGATACTCCCACCTCAGCCTCCCAGGTAGCTGAGACTACAGGCATGTGCCACCATGGCTGGCTATTTTTTTATGTTTTATTTTTTGGAGAGATGAGATCTCACTATGTTGCCCAGGCTGGTCTCAAACTCCTGGCCTCAAGAGATCCTCCTGGCCAGGCACGGTGGCTCACGCCTGTAATCCCAGCACTTTAGGAGGCCGAGGCGGGCAGATCACGAGGTCAGGAGATCGAGACCATCCTGGCTAACACGGTGAAATCCCCTCTCTACTAAAAATACAAAAAATTAGCTGGGCGTGGTGGCGGGCGCCTGTAGTCCCAGCTACTTGGGAGGCTGAGGCAGGAGAATGGTGTGAACCCGGGAGGTGGAGCTTGCAGTGAGCCGAGATCACGCCACTGCACTCCAGCCTGGGCAACAGAGCAAGACTCTGTCTCAAAAAAAAAAAAAAAAAAGACATCCTCCTGCCTCAGTCTCCCAAAATGCCGGGATTATAGGCATGATAAATGAAACTATTAGCCAACACAAGCTAACTGACTACTAACCCAACAACTGCAGAATTCATATTCTTTTCAAGTGCATAATTAATATTCTTCATGATTGACCATATTCTAGGCCACAAAAAGTCTCAGAAAATAAAACTGAAGTCACAAAAGTACATTTTTTGCTTCAATTGAATTAAATTAGAATCAACAAGAGACAAAACCTAGGAAATCCTCAAAAATTTGAAAATTTAAAAACACACTTCTAAATAACCCATGAATCAAAAAAATTGCAAAGACAACTAGAAAATATTTTAACTGAATGAAAACAAAAACACACCATAGCATAATTTATGGAATCCAGCTAAAGCAATGCTTGTAGAGAAATGTGTGGCTTTAGGTACCTATGTAGAAAGAAAAGAAAAGAAGAGAAGAGGAAGGTATCAAATCAGTAACTTAAATTTCCATCTTAAGACATTTAAACAATGATAACAAACTAACCAAAAGCAAGCAGAAATAACAAAAAAAATTAAACCATAAATAAATGAAATGAAAACAAAAAAACAAAGAAAATCAATGAAACAAGATTATTCTTTGAAAAGATCAACAAAATGGACAAACCTTTAACTAGACTGACGAAGAAAAATAAGAAATTACCAAAATAAGAAATAAAAAGGTACTTCTCTACTGTCCCTTAGAAATTTAAAGTATTATAAGAAAATGTAGGCAGGCAGATCACTTGACGTCAGGAGTTCAAGACCAGCTGGGGCAACATGGTGAAACCCCATCTCTACTAAAAATACAAAAATTAGGTGAGCATGGTAGCAGGCACCTGTAATCCCAGTTACTTGGGAGGATGAGGCAGGAGAATCACTTGAACCTGGGAGGCTGAGGTTGCAGTGAGCCAAGACTGTGCCACTGCACTCCAACCTGGGTGACAGAGTGAGACATTGTCTTGAAAAAAAAAAAAAAAAGGAAATGTGATGTACAATTTTATGCCAACATATTGGATAACTTAGATAAAATTAATAAATTTCTAAAAAGAAACAAGTTACCAAAACTGAATAAAATCCAAATAGACCTATAACAAAGATTACACTCATAATTATAAATCTTCCCAAAAAGAAAGGCCAAGGTGCAGATGAATTCAATGATGAATGCTATCAAATGTTTAAGGAAATAATATTAATCCTTCACAATTCTTTCAAAATATAGAGAAGAAACATTTCTAAATATAGTCTATGAGGTCAGAATTATGGTGGTTATACAATTATACAACAATTAAATCTAGACATTACAAAAAACAAACTATAGACCAATAGCCCTCTTGAAATATTAGCAGACAAATTCCAGTGACATATAAAAAGAATTATACACCATTTATCACAGAAATGCAAGAATGGTTTAACATCCAAAAATTAATTCATATGGTACACCACATCAATAAACTAAAGGAAGAAAAACACATGATCATTACAATAAATGTAGAAAAAGCATTTGAAAAACCCCAATAAACGTTTACAATAAAATTTGACAAATTTGGAATAGAAGGGAACCTCCTGAACATGATAAAGGCCTTTACAAAAACCTCACTAGTTAACAAGAAATTCAGTGTTAAAAGACTGAGTACTTTCTCCCAAGATAGAAACAAAGCAGAAATGCCCCCTCTTACCATTTCCATTCAACAAACTAAAGACATCTAGAAAGAAAAGGAAAATAAGGCATAAAACAGGATAATGCTGTATTTGCAGTGGCATGATCCTGTTTGTAGAAACTCCCAAAGAATCCACAAAAAAAAAAAAAAGACAAAAAAAAACGAGAACCAATGAACAAATTAGGTAAGGTGGCAAGACACATGATTAATAAACAAAAATCAATGTGTATGTGTATTTCCATATACTAGAAACAATCTGAAAAATCAAATTAAAGGAGCATTTCAGTTCACAATAGCATGAAAAATAATAAAATACTTGATGATAAATTTACCAAAACAAGTGAAGGTCCTCCTGTGCATTAAAAATTACCAGATGAAGAACCAAGTATCCCCAGAATGAAGAACTGAGCATTCCCAGTCAAGGGATATTGGAGGCCAATATTCAACATTCTTATAGAAAAGAATTTCCAACATAGAATTTCATATCAGGCCAAACTAAGCTGCATAACTGAAGGAGAAATACGATTCTTTCCAGACAAGCAAATGCTGAGGGAAATCATCACCACCAGGCCTATCTTGGAATAATGCCTGAAGGAAGCACTAAATATGGAAACAAAAACCTGTTACCAGCCACTACAAAAACACTGAAGTACACAGACCAGTGACACTATGAAGCAACTGCATAAACAAGTCTGTAAAATAACCAGCTAGCATCATGATGACAGGATCAAATTCACACATAACAATACTAACATTAAATGTTAATGGGCTAAATGTCCCAATTAAAAGACACAGACTGGCAAGCTGGATAAAGAGCCAAGACCCATCAGTATGCTGTCTTTAAGAGACTATCTCAAGTGCAAAGACACATAGGCTCAAAATGAAGGGATGGAGGAAAATTTACCAAGCAAATAGAAAACAGAAAAGAGCAGAGGTTACAAACCTAGTTTCTGACAAAACAGACTATAAACCAACAAAGATAAAAAATGACAAAGAAGGGCATTACATAATGCTAAAGGGTTCAATTCAACAAGAAGAGCTAATTATCCTAAACATATATGCACCCAATACAGGCACAACCAGATTAATAAAGCAAGATCTTAGAGACCTACAAAGAGCCTTAGACTCCCACAAAATAACAGTGGGAGACTTTAACAGCACACTGTCAATATTAGACAGATCATCGAAACAGAAAATTAACAAAGATATATGGGACCTGAACTCAGCTCTGGATCAAGCAGACCTGATAGATATCTACAGAAATCTCAAGAATAAGAAATTCAGTCAAAACCACACAAGTACATGGACATTGAACAACCTGTTCCTGAATAACTGTTGTGAAAATAATCAAATCAAAGCAGAAATCAAGAAGTTATTTGAAACTAATGAGAAAAAAGAGACAGCATACCAGAATCTCTGGAATGCAGCTAAAACAATTTTAAGAGGGAGATTTATAGCACTAAATGCCCACATCAAAAAGCTAGAAAGATCTCAAGTTAACAACCTAACATCACAACAAAAAGAACTAGAGAACTAAGAGCAAACAAACCCCAAAGCTAGAAGAAGACAAGAAATAACCAAAATCAGGGCAGAACTGAAGGAGATAGAGATATGAAAAATCCTTCAAAAAATCAATAAATCCAGGAGCTGGTTTTTGGGGAAAAAAATAATAATATAGATAGACTACTAGCTTGACTAATAAAGAAGAAAAAGAGAGAAGATTCAAACACAATCAGACATGATACAGGGGATATCACCATTGACCCCACAGAAATACAAACAATCATCAGAGAATACTATAAACACCTCTATGCACATAAACTAGAAAATCTAGAAGAAATGGAAAAACTCCTGGCCACATACACCCTCCCAAGACTGAACCAGGAAGAAACTAAATCCCTGAATAGACCAATAACAAGTTCTGAAAGTGAGGCAGAAATAAATAGCCTACCAACGAAGAAAATCCCAGGACCAGATGGAATCAAAGCTGAATTCTACCAGAGGTAAAAAGAAGACAAAGAAAAGCTGGTACCATTTCTACTGAAACTATCTATACAGTTGAAAAGAAAGGGACTCCTCCCTAACTCATTTTATGAGGCCAGTATCATCCTGATACCAAAACCTGACAGAGATACAACAAAAAAAGAAAACTTCAGGCCAATATCCCTGATGAAAATCAGTGCAAAAATCCTGAATAAAATACTGGCAAACTGAATCCACCTGCATATCCAAAAGCTTATCCACCATGATCAAGTAGGCTTCATCCCCAGGATGCAAGGTTGGTTCAACATATGCAAATCAACAAGTGTGATTCATCACATACACAGAACTAAAGACAAAAACCACATGATTATCTCAATAGATGCAGAAAAGGCCTTTGATAAAATTCAATATTGCTTCATGTTAAAAACCCTCAGTAAACTAGGTATTGAAAGAACATACCTCAAAATAATAAGAGCCATATATGACAAACCCACAGTCAGTATCATACTAAATGGGCAAAAGCTGGAAGCTTTTCCCTTGCAAACTGACACAAGACAAGGATGCACTGTCTCACTCCTATTCAATACAGTACTGGAAGTTCCAGCCAGGGCAATCAGGCAAGAGAAACAAATAAAGGATGTTCAAATAGGAAGAAAGGAAGTCAAACTGTCCTTAAGATGACATGATCCTATATCTAGAAAACCCCATCCTCTCAGCCCAAAAGCTTCTTAGGCTAATAAGCAACTTCAGCAAAGTATCAGGATACAAAATCAATGTGCAAAAATCACTAGCATTCCTATACACCAACAATAGGCAAGCAGAGAACCAAGTCATCAATTAACTCCCATTCACAACTGCTACAGAAAGAATAAAATACCTAGGAATGCAGCTAACGAGGGAAGTGAAGGACCTCTTCAAGGAGAACTACAAACCACTCCTCAAAGAAATCAGAGAGGACACAAACAACTGGAAAAACATTCCATGCTCATGGATAGGAAGAATCAATATCATGAAAATGGTAATTTATGGCCTACCAAAAATAATTTATAGATTCCATGTTATTTCCATTACACTACCATTGACATTCTTCATAGAATTAGAAAAACTATTTTAAGATTCATATGGAACCAAAAAAGAGCCCAAAGAGCCCAAATAGCCAAGACCCGAACTCGAGCAAGAAGAACGAAGCTGAAGGCATCATGCTACATGACCTCAAACTACTACAAGGCTACAGTAACCAAAACAGCATGTTACTGGTACAAGAACAGACACATTGACCAACGGAACAGAATAGAGAACTCAGAAATAAGACCGCATGCCTACAACCATCTGATCTCTGACAAACCTGACAAACACAAGCAATGGGGAAAGGATTTCCTATTTAATAAGTGGTGCTAAGAGAACTGGCAAACCATATGCAAAAAATTTAAACTGGACTCCTTCCTTATACCCTATACAAAAAGTAATTCAAGATGGATTAAAGACTTAAATGTAAAACCCAAAGTAAGAAAATCTGTAAGAAAATCTAGGCAATTCAGGACAAAGGTATGGATAAAGATTTCATGATGAAAACACCAAAAGCAATTGCAACAAAAATTAACAAATGGGATCTAATTAAACTAAAAAGCTTCTGTGGGGCAAAAGAAAGTATGATCAGAGTGAACAGACAACCTACAGAATGGGAGAAATTTTTGCAATCTACTCACTGTACACTAAAAATTACCAGATGAAGAATCGAGTACCCCTAGGATGAAGAACTCATTCTAGCATCAATTCCAAGTTCGAAATTCCATCTAAATATCACTTAAATCAGGTACGGTTGAGATTCAAGTTATGATTCATCCTGAGGCAAAATTCCTCTCCAGTTGTGAACCTGTGAAACCAGACAAGTTACGTGCTTCCAAAACACAATAGTAGGACAGGCATAGAATAGCTATTCCCATGCCAACAAGGAGAAACCAGAAAAAAAGAAAGGAGTGACAATCCCAACAAAGTCCAAAACCTAGCAAGACAAATTCCGTTAGATCTTAAGATCTGACAAACAACAAATATCCAGAGTTTACAAGGAACGTAAGCAAATTTATAAGAAAAAAACAAAAAACTCCATTAAAAATTGGGCGAAGGATGTGAACAGACTCTTGCAAAAAGAAGACATACATGTGGCCAACAAACATATGAAAAAAACTCAACATCATTGCTCATTTGAGATACGCAAATCAAAACCACAATCAGATACTATCTTACACTAGTTAGAATGGTGATTATTAAAAAGTCATAAAACAACAGATACTGGCAATGTTGCAGAGAAAAAAGAACACTTTTACACTGTTGGGGGGAATGTAAATTAGTTCAACCATTGTGGAAGACAGTGTGGCAATTCCTCAAAGACCTAGAGGCAGAAATACCATTTGACCTAGCAATCCCTTTACTGGGTATATAACCAAAGGAATATAAACTATTCCATTGTAAAGATACATACACATGTATGTTTATTGCAGCAGTATTCACAATAGCAAAGACATGGAAGCAACCCAAATGCCCATCAACAATAGACTGGATAAAGAAAATGTAGTATATTGGCTGGGCGCGGTGGCTTATGCCTGTAATCTCAGCACTTTGGGAGGCCAAGGCGGTGGATCACAAGGTCAGGAGATCAAGACCATCCTGGCTAACACGGTGAAACCCCGTCTTTACTAAAAATACAAAAATTAGCTGGGCATGATGGCAGGTGCCTGTAGTCCCAGCTACTCGGGAGGCTGAGGCAGGAGAATGGCATGAACCCGGGAGGTGGAGCTTGCAGTGAGCAGAGATCACATCACTGCACTCCAGCCTGGTCGACAGAGCAAGACTCCGTCTCAAAAATAAAAAAAAAAAAAAAGAAAAAGAAAATGTGGTAAATCTATACCATGGAATACTATGCAGTCATAAAAAGGAACAAGATCATGTCCTTTGCAGAGACATGGATAGAGTTGGAATCCATTATCCTCAGCAAACTAATGCAGGAACAGAAAACCAAACACTGCCCATTCTCACTTATAAGTGGGAGCTGAATGATGAGAACATATGGACGCATAGTGGGGAAAAACACACAATGGGCCCTGTCAGAGAGCTGGGGGAGGGAGAGCATTAGGAAGTATAGCTAACGGATGCTGAGCTTATACCTAGGTGATGGGATGATATGTGCAGCAACCCACCATGGCACACATTTACCTATATAACAAACCTGCACAACCTGTACATGCACCCCTGAACTTAAAATAAATGTTAAAGAAAAAAAAAAAAAGAAGGCCAGGCACAGTGGCTCATGCCTGTAATCCCAGCACTTTGAGAGGCTGACGGAGGTGGATCACCTGAGGTCAGGACATCAAGACCAGCCTGGCCAACATGGCGAAACCCCGTCTCTACTAAAAATACAAAAATTAGCTGGGTGTCATGGCGTGTGCCTGTAATCCCAGCTACCTGGGAGGCTGAGGTAGGAGAATCACTTGAACGCAGGAGGCAGAGGTTGCAGTGAGCCAAGATCGCGCCACTGCACTCTAGCCTGGGAGACAGAGTGAGACTCCAACTCAAACAAAAAAAAAAAAAAAAGGAAAGAAAATTACCAAACTTTAATGACAGAAATTAAAGCTCTAAATAAATGAAAGTATCATACATGTTCATAGATCAGAGCACTCAATATTGTAAAAAGAGCAATTCTCCCAAATTAATCGATACATATTAAATGTAATCTCTATCAAAATCCAAGCAGTTTTTCTTGTAAAAATGAGCATGCAATATGGGAAATGAATTTGGAGGGAACCACAAGGAAGAATGTTATGGATTGAATTGTGCCCCCCGACCAAATCCATATGTTGAAAACCAAACCCCCAGTGTGGAGACAGGACCTTTAAGGAGATAGAGTTAAATGTGATCATAGAGGTATTTTTAGTTGTTCTAAAAATATATATGGAAATAAAAAGGACTTAGAATAGTCAAAGCAATTTTGGAAAAGATGAATAATGAAGGATTTACACTACCCAATTCCAAATCTTGCCCTAAAATGCACAATAATCAAAGCAATGAGATCTTGGTGCAAAGAAAGCCAGCTAGATAAATGGCAAAGACATGAAAGTCCAGAAATAAACCTTTACATTTTTATTTACTTGATCTACAAAGGTATCAAAACAATTCAGTGGGGAAAGTATAGTCTTTTCTACAAACAGTGCTGGGAAAGTTGGATCCACAGGCAAAAAAAACTGAACTTATATCCTGACCTCACACCATATACAAAAGTTTACTCAAATTGGCTCATAGACTATGAGCTAGTAGAAAACACAGAAGAAAATCTTTGTGAGCTTGGGTTAGGTAAAGACCTTACATTAGTCTGCTTAGGCTGCCATAATAAAATATTACAGGCATGGTGACATTAACAACAGAAATTTTAGGACCAGGTGTGGTGGCTCATGCCTGTAATCCCAACACTTTGGGAGGCCAAGGTAGGCAGACCACTTGAGGTCAGGAGTTCAAGACTAGCCTGGCCAACATGGCAAAACCCCATCTCTACCAAAAAATAGCCAAGCGTGGTGGCACATGCCTGTAATTCCAGCTACTTGGGAGGCTGATGCATGAGAATTGCTTGAACCTGGGAGTCAGAGGTTGCAGTGAGCCAAGATAGCACCACTGCACTCCAGCCTAGACAACAGAGGAAGACTCTGTCTCAAAACAAAAACAAAAACAGAAATGTTATTTTCTCACAGTTCTGGATGTTAGAAATCCAAGATAAATATGCTAGCAGGTTGGTTTCTGGTGAGGCCTCTCTTTACGGCGTGTAGGTAGCTCTTTTCTCACTATGTTCTCACATGGCCTTTTTTCTGTGTATGCATGGAGACAGACAAGGACCTCTTGTATCTCTTCCTCTTCTTATAAGGACACCAGTCCAATCAGATTAAGGTCACACCTCTATGATCACATTTAACTCTATCTCCTTAAAGGTCCTATCTCCATACTGGGAGTTTGGTTTTCAACATATGGATTTGGCGGGGGACACAATTCAATTCATAACATTCTTCCCTATGGTGCGCCCCCCAAATTCATTTCCTTCTTGCATGGAAAAGCCCCAAAGCCTTAACTCATTCTAGCATCAATTCCAAGTTCAAAATTTCATCTAAATGTCACTTAAATCAGGTATGGTTGAGATACAAGTTATGACTCATCCTGAGGCAAAATTCCTCTCCAGTTGTGAACCTGTGAAACCAGACAAGTTATGTGCTTCCAAAATACAATAGTAGAACAGGCATAGAATAGCTATTCCCATGCCAACAAGGAGAAACCAGAAAAAAAGAAAGGGGTGACAATCCCAACAAAGTCCAAAACCTAGCAAGACAAATTCCGTTAGATCTTAAGGTTCAAGAATACTCTTCTTTGACAGGATGCTCTACCCTGCTGGGCCCACTTGGACAGCAACTCTCCCATGGCCCTAGGGACTGGCCCCATCCCCTCAGCTCTGTAAAGCGGCTCTGCCCCCACAGCTCTGGGTGACAGCCTTGTTCCTGGGGTAATAAACAGTGACATCCTAGACTACTGAAACCAAGGAGGTGGCCCCACTCTCTGAAACCAAAGAGAATGCAGCCTTGCCTCCTGGGCCTGTAGCAGGAGTGGCAGCCCTGATGATCTCTGAATTGCTTTCAGGGTCATTCTTCTCTTTTTCTTTTTTTATTATACTTCAAGTTCTGGAGTACATGTGCAGAACATGCAGGTTTGTTACATAGGTATGCACGTGCCATGGTGGTTTGCTGCACCCATCAACCCGTCATCTACATTAGATATTTCTCCTAATGCTCTCCCTCCCCTAGCCCTCCACCCCCCGACTGGCCCCAGTGTGTGATGTTCCCCTCCCTGTGTCCATGTGTTCTCATTGCTCGACTCCTACTTATGAGTGAGAACATGCGGTGTTTGTGAAGAATGATGCATGTTTGAAGCCAGACAACTCTATCGTCCTATCCTGTAGAATCCCAGAAGTTAAACAGCCTTCCTTCATTCTATCCAATTTTCTCTGTTCCCTTTAGTTCCAGCTGGCAGTGTTTCTGCTGATGTAATCCCGTCTCTGATCCTGGCTTCACTTGACATGGCGGATTAAATCATGAGGAATCTTTTTATTGTCTGATTGTCCAGCTACACCTTTGGTGTTCTTTCTAAAACATCATTTCTCATTTTAAAAAATACAAAGTAGGCTGAAAATTTCTCAAATCTTCAAGTTCTTGTTCCTTTTTGCTAAATAATTCCTTCCATTTACCTCTCTTCTCTTGCATTTTGCATTTTCTATAAGCAGTGATGACAAAACAAGCCACATCTTCAGCATTTTGCTTAGAAATCTCCCCAGCTAAATACCCAAGGTTTTCCCCCACAATTTCTACCTTCTACAAAAGACTAGAACACAATTCAGCCAAGTTCTTTGCCACTTTTTAACAAGGATCTCCTTTCCTCCAGTCTCCAATAACATTTCTCATTTCTATCTGTGACCTCACTAGAAACACTTTTTTTTTTTTTTTTTTTGAGACGGAGTCTTGCTCTGTCACCCAGGCTAATGTGCAGTGGCCCAATCTCGGCTCACTGCAACCTCTGCCTCCTGGGTTCAAGCAATTCTCCTGCCTCAGTCTCCCGAGTAGCTGGGACTACAGGTGCCTGCCACCACGTCCAGCTAATTTTTGTATTTTTAGTAGAGACAGGGTTTCACCATGTTACCCAGGTTGGTCTTGAACTCCTGACCTCAGGTAATCTGCCCACGTCAGCCTCCCAAAGTGCTAGGATTACAGGTGTGAGCCACCGTGCCCGGCCCAGGAACACCTTTAATGTTCATATTTCTACCAGTTCTATTCTGTTCATAATGATATGTATATTCCCTAAGACGATAAAAGCTTTCTCTATAAGTCTTTTCTTTCTGATCCTTCATTAGAATTACCTTTAGCATCCATATTTCTACCAACAGTCCCTTCAAGGCAATCTAGGCTTCTTCTTAGCATGTACTTCACCAGTCTTCTAGCCTCTACCCTTCACTCAGTTCCAAATCCACTTCAACATTTTTAGGTATTTGTTACAGCAGCACCCCACTTCACAATACCAAAATCGGATTACTCTGCTCAAGCTACCCAAACAAAATGCCACAGACAAGGTGGCTTAACCAACAAAAATGTATTTTCTCACAGTTCTGGAGGCTGGAAGTCCAAGATCAAGGTGCCAACAGGGCTGATTTCTGGTGAGGCCTCTCCTCTTGGCTTGCAGACAGCTGCCTTCTTGTTGTATCCTTTCATGACCTTCAGTTTGTATGCATGAACCCCTAGTATATTTCCTCTTCTTATAAGTACATCAGTCCTATTAGATTAATTAAAGCCCTACCCTTGTGACAGCATATAACCTTAATTACCTCCATAAGGCCCTTGACCTCATGTAACCTTAATTACCTCCATAAGGCCCTATCTCCAAATATAGTCACATTAGGGGTTAGGGATTCAACATATGAATTTTGAGGGGCCACAGTTCAGTCCATAACAGAGTTCTTAGATACAAAACCAAAAACAAGATCCATAAAAAGAAAATTTGATAAACTGAATGTCATCAAAATTGAAAATGTTTGTGTTTGAGAAAACACCACTGAGAAAAATGAAAAAGCAAGCCAGAAATTGGGAGAAAATAATTCCAAATAGAGAAGTTGTGTCCAGAATATATAATGAATTCATAGAACTCAAAAATAAATAAACAACTAAATTTTAAAACAGGAGAATAATTTGAGTAGACATTCCACAGAAAAGGCATATAAATGGCTATTAGGCTCATGAAAAATACTCAGCATAATTATTCATTAAAGAAATGCAAATTGAAGCCACAATTACATACCACTACACTCCCACTACAATAGCTTTAATCTGAAAGACAGAAAACATCAAATGTTCACAAGTATGTGAAAAAACTGGAACACTCAAAAATTGCTGATGTGACATGTAAATTGGTACAGTCACTATGGAAAACAGTGTAGCAGTTTCTAAAAATGTTAAACACAAACTTATCATGTGCCCAGCAATTTCACTCCTAAGAATCTACCCAAGGGAAAATATATGTCCATACATGAATGTTCATAAAAGAATTATTCATAATACTCAATATCAGAAAACAATCCAAAGTCCATCAACTGGAGAATGAGAATGGATAAGCAAAATGTGGTATATCCACATATAAGATATAAAAATTAATAACCTGATAAATGCTACAAAATGGATAATCCTAAGTGAAAAAAGTCTAATACAAAAGCTTACATATTGCATGCTGCCATTTATATAAAATGCCCCTAAAGAGGCAAATACATAGAGATAGACAACAGATCAGCGGTTGCCAAGGGCTGGAGAAGAACTACAAATGTGCATAAGGGATCTTTTTAGGATTGATAGCAACATTCTACAACTGGACTGTGGTAATGTTTGCACAATTCTATTTATGTACTGCTGTAATAATTGTTGAGTTGTACCCTTAAAATGGGTGAACTCTATGGTGTTGTAAATTGCACCTCAACAAAACTGCTAAAAATAGAATGTTACCAAAAGATTGGTCACTTATAAGCAAAGCTTGCTTAATTATATTTCTTTTTTTTAAATCTCCTAAGACACCTGGCATATAGGTATGCACATGGCAAGTCTAGAGAAATAGTTGCTAAATAAATCAATGAACAAAATAAAGTATTTCCCTTTCTAATAAAAATAGTAGAATGAAATGTTTCTTCTCGTCTGAGAATTGCTAGGTGTAGGGGTGGAGATTGAGAAACAGGCTTTAGTTAAAAGAAATTGTCTTAGACATTTTGGAGAAAATTATTCTCTTTGTGCTGATGTCCTAGATATCACTCAGATAAAACACTTAATTCTACATTCTCTTCTATATGTAAACTTTTAAAAATAATTTACCATAAGAAAATGACAAACATTAAAAAAATACAGAACATTCTAATTTACCTATTTGCTTTTACCATCAAAGCTTTTAATTCCTATCAGTAGAAATACAAGAGACATTATATTCATATTAAAATGGGCTTGACATATTTCATAGCTATATAATAAAAATATGAAATTTCATATAAACATTTAGATTGTGAAAAAATATCTCTTACATATTCTATTTCTGAACTGTCATTTGTATTTGTTTGGATTTTCTCTGGAATTACGATCTGTAGAAGTGAATTTTGAAAACCTGAAGAGATAAAAAAAAAAAAAAGTTAGTAACCTTGCCTTAATTTGATTAAATATCTGTTCAGTTTCTTTCATAAAGTTTACTTGTGCAGGTATGGGTGGCTCATCACTGTGTACTTCTATAAAAAGCTTGAAAACACTTAATTTGAAAAACAGACAAGATACTTATGAAAGAACAAAAAAGGAGAAGGGAAGAGGTATGCAGCTCGCACAAAATGTGTGGTTCTGAAGAAAATAGAAAATACACACCAAAAAAATCAAAGACATACTTCAAAAACTTTTTCCTGAAATAAAAGATTCAAAACAATAGACTAGAAAGTATACTGTATTTCAGGAATAACTAATCATTACTTTAAACTAAAACATATTCTACTGAAATTGTTGGGTTTCCAAGATAAAGAATTCCTTGAAAATATGATAGAAAGAAAAAAAAAGAAAATCATGTTATGTATAAGGGGAGATAAGCAGGCTGGCTTGAGAATTTTTACCACAGTATTTAATGTTAAAAGACTAAAGAACAATGTCTAAAAAAGAACTTTAAGAAAAGACAGTGAAGACCCTATAAATGTATACCCAGCAAAAAGGCCATTAAATATAAAGTCAGAAGATAGATATTTACAAGCAAAACTCAAAAAAAAAAAGTTCACATGTGTCTACCACAAAAGTCAGAGACATTTCTCCCAATAAAAATATCAGCAGAGTTGTGGTAAAATGCCTAACAGTGAGAAAAAAAAATCTTAAATATAGACTAAAGGCTAAAACAACTGTGGGAATCACAGTTACATAACAGATGCAAATGTTAAAAGCTCTGGTTACATAAACATAATATATACAACTTCAGGAACTGTAGCAGAAGAAGAGGAAGATCACATAAGCATACTGATTTCCTTAAATCTGCTTAACAGGGCCGGGCATGGTGGCTCATGCCTGTAATCCCAGCACTTTGGGAGGCCAAGGCAGGTGGATCACAAGGTCAGGAGTTCCAGATCAGCCTGGCCAACATAGTGAAACCCCGTCTCTACTGAAAATACAAACATTGGCCGGGCATGGTGGCATGTGCATGTAGTCCCAGCTACTCCGGAGGCTGAGGCAGGAGAATCGCTTGAACCCAGGAGGCAGAGATTACAGTGAGCCAAGATCACACCACTGCACTACAGCCTGGGCAACAGAGAAAGACTCTGTCTCAAAAAAAAAAAGTAACCATAATCATTAAATGCCACAACTAACATCATACTGAATGGGGAAAAGTTGAAAGCCTTTTCTCTAAGAACTGGAACAAGACAAGGATGCCCACTCTCACCACTCCCATTCAACATAGCGCTAGAAGTCCTAGCCAGAGCAATCAGGCAAGAGAAAGAAATAAAAGGCATCCGAATAGGAAGAGAGGAAGTCAAACTCTCTCTCTTCACAGACGATATGATTCTACACCTAGAAAACCCTATAGTTTCTGCCCAAAGGCTCCTAGATCTGATAAGCAACTTCAGTAAAGTTTCAGGATACAAAATCAATGTACAAAAATCACTAGCATTTCTATACACCAGCAACAGCCAAGCCAAGAGCCAAAATAAGAACAGGATCCCATCCAGAATAGCCACAAAAAGAACAAAATACCTAGGAATACAGCTAACCATGGAGGTGAAAGATCTCTACAAGGAGAACTACAAAACACTGCTCAAAGAAATCAGAGATGACATAAACAAATGAAAAAACATTCCATACTCATGGATAGGAAGAATCAACGTTGTTAAAAGGCCCATACTGCTCAAAGCAATTTACAGATTCAGTGCTACTTCTATCAAACCACCAATGTCAGTTTTTCACAGAATTAGAAAAAACTATTCTAAAATTCATATGGAACCATAAAAGAGCCCAAAGAGCCAAAGCAATCCTAAGCAAAAAGAAGAAAGCAAGAGGTCTCACACTACCTGTCTTCAAACTATACTACAAGGCTACAGTAACCAAAACAGCATGGTACTGGTACAAAAACAAACACATAGACCAATGGAACAGGTTAGAAAACTCAGAAATAAAGCCACACACCTATAACCATCTGATCTTTGACAGTTAACAATAACAAGCAATGGAGAAAGGACTCTCTATCCAATAAATGGTGCCGGGATAACTGGCTACTCATATGCAGAAGACTGCAACTGAACCTTTTGCCATATTCAATAACCAATGCAAGATGGATTAAAGACCTAAATGTACAACTTAAAACTATAAATGCCTTAGAAGAAAACCCAGGACATGCCATTCTAGACATCTTTGTCTTGGCAAAGGTTTCATGATGAAGACTCCAAAAGCAATTTCAACAAAAACAAAAATTGAGAAGTGGGACTTCATTAAACTAAAGAGCTTCTGCACAGCAAAAGAAATTACCAACCAAGTAAATAGGCAACCTGCAGAATGCAGAAAATATCAACAAACTATGCCAACAAAGGTCTAATATCTGGACTCAATAAGGAGCTTAAACAATTCAACAAGCAAAAAAAAAAAAACCCATTAAAAAATGGGCCAATGACATGGACACTTCTCAAAATAAAACATACATGTGGCCAAGAAGCATATGAAAAACTTATCATTAGAAAAATGAAAGTCAAAACAACAGTGACATATCATGTCACACCAATCAGAATGACTTATTAAAAAGTCAAAAAATAATAGGTGTTGGCAAGGTTGCAGAGGAAAGAGAATGCTTATACACTGCTGGGGAGAATGTAAGTTAGTTCAACCACTGTGGAAAGCAGTGTGATTTCTCAAGGAACCTAAAAGAGAACTCCCATTTTACCCAGCAGTGTGATTTCTCAAGGAACCTAAAAGAGAACTCCCATTTTACCCAGAAGTCCCATTACTGAGTATATACCCAAGGGAATATAAATCATTCTACCATGAAGACACATGCACACGTATATTCATTGCAGCACTTTTCACAATAGCAAAGACATGGAATCAACCTAGACATCCATCAGTGGTGGACTGGATAAAGAAAATGTTGTGTATATACACCATGGAATACTATACAGCCATAAAAAAATGAAATCACGTCCTTTGCAGCCACATGGTTGCAGCTGGAGGCCACTATCCTAAACAAATTAACACAGGAACAGAAAACCAAATACCACATATTCTCACTTATGAGCGGAGGCTAAACATTGAGTACACATGGATGCAAAGAGGGGCACAATAGAACCAGAACTTACTTGAAGGTGGAGGATGGGAGGAGGGAGAGGACTGAAAAACTACTTCTCAGATACTGTGCTCACTACCTGAGTAATGAAATCATTTGTACATAGAACCCCAGTGACACGCAATTTACCCATGTAACAAACCTGCACATGTACCTCCAAACCTAAAATTAAAGTTGGAAGAAAAAATAAAATAAAACTTATGAAAAAAATTTTTAAACATGATTCCTTGCTTTGACTGGGAATCAGGGAATTCTGAAGTGGCAGACAATTGACTCTCAGAGACAGGTGAGCACAATTACCAGAAGAAGCCACAAGGACAGAGTGAAAAACAAAATGCTTTCACCTACAGAGATCCTTGGTAGTATCTAACTGATCACAGAGTCCCTAGGAATGAACTAGATGAGCAGTCTAGTCAAGAAAATTCTAGCTTGTGGTGCGCAGAAACTGATGCAATCACCACGAGGACTCACAGCCTCTTCCCTGGTTCCTACACCTGACCCAGTTCAGAGGCTTGCAGCCTTTTCATTAAGGAGTGAGGGAGTCCTCTTTAGGAAGGACCTTGCCATGCAACCACAGGAATGTGCTGCGAATCTTCCCCTGCAGACTCCTCCATAGTGTCCTGTGTCCTTTTACCATGATGACTATGCCCAGGGGAGGGGAAATAGCCAGACTTTCAGGGAGTATTATTTACTGACTCTGAACTGACACTAATCCTGAGGACTCAAAATACCAGCATGGTCCATTGATCAGAATAGGGACTTATATAGATCAAGGGATAAATTGTGACCTGGATCCATCAATGGTGAACGAAGTTATAGATTTTGTGAAATGAACTAGCTCGTTGAAATTAAAGTCTCATTAGTTAGTTCATGTGAAATTATAGTTGATTAGTGAAAAAAATATAGATTCCAATGTGTTGATTTGTTGAAAAAAATCAACACGTCTCCTAATACCTAATATGCAGTTATTGACCTGGAAAATGTTATTTTCAATTCCAATCAGCAATGGTGACAAATGCCTTCATCTGACAAGAACAATAATACTATTTTCACCACCTTCCCTTCAAGCTGTCAACTGTCCTGTCGTAGCTCAGAGGGACACTGACCGTTTTGATTTCCCATTAGAACATCATGCTGGTCAAGTTGCATGATGTGAAAGACATCATGCTTATATATTTAGTGAGCAAGAAGTAGCAAGTGCCCTAGATGTTTCAGTAAGATACATGCATGCCAGAATGTGGTAGAAGAACCTATGGAGGTTAAGGGATAGTTACAACCCCAAAGTTTCTTGGGGTCCAGTGGTTGCAGCATGCTGAGATATCCTGTACAAAGTGAGATGCTAGTGGCTACACCTTGCATAGTCCACCACAAAAAAAAAGAGTCACAACGAGTGGCAGGCCGTTTTGAGTTTTTGAATTCAGAGATAATACATACTGTTTTGGGGTGTGAGAGCCTGAATCATTCATCGGGTGACTGGTAAAACTGTCAAAATTGACTTGGACCCAGCGCAAGAGAAGAATCTGCAGCAAGTTCAAGATATAGATGGCACTGCCCTGCTTCAGTGTTATGACACAGGACACCCTGCAGTACCCACTGCACTGACACTCATAATGTTACTCATGTGGCTGCAGTCATCTGGCAGCTCGCCTAGGCCTGGAGAGACTAAGACGACCCCATTCATGTCTTTTGACTGAACGGCCTAGGTTGAGTCATCTCTGTTTCACACATCCTCTTATCGTCCTAGTCTAGGATTCTTCATGTAGCAGTCAAGACAGTGCTTCAAGAGAGCAGAGAGGAAGCTGCAAAGCCTCTTGAGGCATAGACTTGGAAGTCTCACAACTCATTTCTACCACATTCAAATGGCCAGAGCAAGTAATGAGGCCAACCAGATTCAGAGAGTGAAGAAATACATTCTACCTCTCAATGGGAGGAATGACAAAGAAATGTTGCAAAATGGAAGCACACACAGGGATGGAGGAAGTGTTAAGGCCATTGTCATCTTTGCAAACAATCAATTCAACACATGTGATATGGCTTTCTACTGTTACTAGTCTGTGCGTTTCATCGTTAATTATTGATGCCCACATCTCTATAGATAGTCCCATAGCTAAACTCTCTTTATTTAAACCCTTTCAGTGTATCCTCAGTCTCATGACAGGTCTCTAAGTGAGACCTACCTGTGTACTTTGGGGGCAAGGGGGTGGTGATAGTTTAACATCTACTAAATGTGGCATTTCAAATGAATGGGGGAATGATGTAATATCAGTATTTATCCATTTGGAAAAATACAAATATAGTTTCCTATCTAGCACCACAGTGTGGATTACAAGACTTCATGTACAAAGTTACAAAACTATTAGAAAGACTGAAAGGCTACGTTGTCTAAAGTTGTAAAATAACTTTAAGAAAGTATGGGAAACTATTTGTTTTAATCATTGTACCAAGGGAAGCCTTAATACGGAAAACAAAATGCAGAAGCCATAAGAAAGTGTTGATAAACTTAGTACAAAAATCAGGATATCACAAGTGAAAAGATCAATAACACATTGAAGAAAACTTGTGCAAGATATAGAAAAAATAAAATGATTAATATCCAAAATATATTAAAAATAGATGACATACATAAATTTATACAATATGCTTTTGTCATTTATAATTTACTTCAAAAGGACCGTATATGTCTACATTTACACATATTTATATCTAAGTGTCTAGAGAAAAGTCCAGAAGAGTACCATCAAACTGTTAAACATAGTCGTTTTCTTTAAAAATATAGTAAAATTGACAATCAGGAAAGATGGTAACATATAGGGTAGCCTCTTTTACTTCATTTTGAATGTAATCACATATTACTAAATAAAAATTATTAACAAGTTTATAATTATTTTTAAAGTTCCAGGATTTTGATCCAGAAATATATATGTTTATAAATATCCAGAGATTATTCTGATGTAAAGCCAAATTTGGCCTCAACTATCCCACCTTAGGAAAAGACTGATACATAAATGCGTATGTCACTTCAAAAATCTAGCAGGTATCATAGCTTTTACATCAAATTTAGGCAAAGCCTCAGAATCATTTTCAACAAAACATGGTAGGTAGTCACTGCCACTCCATCGGATGTCAGCTTTTCCCAACTTGTTCTTTTTTTTTTTCCTTTTTTTTTTTTTTTTTTTTTTGAGAAAGAGTCTTGCTCTGTTGCCCAGGCTGGAGTGCAGAGGTGCGATATTGGCTCACTGCAACCTCCACCTCGCAGGTTCAAGCAATTCTGCCTCAGCTGGGATTACAGGCATGTGCCACCACAATCAGCTAATTTTTGTATTTTTTTTAGTAGAGATGGGGTTTCACCATGGCCAGGCTGGTCCTGAACTCCTGGCCTCAAGTGATCCACCCACCTTGGCCTCCCAAAGTGCTGGGATTACAAGCATAAGCCACCATTCCCAGCCTCTTCCCAATTTGTTCTATGTCAAGACTATCCTAATCAAAATCTAAGCAAGCTATTTTGTGGATATCAACCAACATATTCTACTGTTTACATGAGGAGGTAAAAGACCCAGAATAGCCAACTCATTATTGGGGGATAACAAAGTCCAGAAGAGGAAATGGACATACCTATACCACTGAGCCTAACAGTTTCTTTGTAAGTACATATCCAAGAGAAATGAAAACATATGTCCACACAAAAACTGGTACATGAAGGTTCCTAGCAGCATTACTCCTAACAGCCAAAAGTTGGAAACAATCAAATGTCCATCAACTGATGAATCAGTAAACAAACGGGTGAATATATACAATGAAATATTATTCAGTCACAAAAAGGAATGAAGTTCTAATGCATTCTACAACAGAGACGAACCTTGAAAACATTATGCAAGTGAATTAAGCCAGACAAAAAAGGTCATATTTTGTATGATTCCATTTATACGAAATACCCAGAATAGATAAATCCAAAGGGACAGTGGCTGCCAGATAAATCCAAAGCAGATCAGTGGCTGCCAGGGGCTGGAAGCAGGAGGACATGAGGAGTGACTGCTTAATGTGAAAATGCCATCCCCAAATTGCTGAGCAAGATCCCTCAGCTGATGGGACCATCAGCAGTTTGGAGCTGGCATTTTCATTTGAAAGTTTAAATTCTCTCTTCTGAGTTATAATAAAAAAGACAGCCAGGATTTCTTGCACTTGTAGTTATGCATATAATTTATAATATGACAGCATTAATAAAAGAAGTTCTCATTCATTGCTGGGGTGAATGCAAATGGTACAGCCACTTTGGAAGACAGCTTGGCAGTTTCTTTAAAAACTAAATATACTCTTATCATATGATTCAGCAATAGCATTTCTTGGTATTTACCCAAATGAGTTGAAAACTTATGTCCACACAAAAACCTGCACATAGATGTTTATAGCAGCTTTATTCATAACTGCCAAAGCTTAGAAGCAACCAAGATGTCATTTGGTAGGTAAATGGATAAATAAACTGTGGTAGATCCAGACAATTGAATATTATTCAGCACTAAAAATAAAAAAGCGGCCGGGTGCAGCGGCTCATGCCTGTAATCCTAGCACTTTGGGAGGCCAAGGTGGGTGGATCACTTGAAGTCAGGAGTTCGAAACCAGCCTGGTCAACACAGTGAAACCCCATCTCTACTAAAAATACAAAAAAATTAGCTGGGCATGGTAGCAGGCACCTGTAATCCCAGCTATTTGGGAGGCTGAGGCAGGAAAATTGCTTGAACCGGGAGGCGGAGTTTGCAGTGAGCCAAGATCCTGCCACTGCACTCCAGCCTGGGCGACAGAGTAAGACACCATCTCAAAAAAACAATTAAGTAAGTAAATAAGCTATCAAGCCATGAAAAGGCATGGGAGAACCTTAAATGCATATTATTAAGTAAAAAAAAAGTCCATCCAAAATGGCTACATATGATTTCAAATACATGACACTCTGGAAAAGGCAAAACTAAGAAGACTAAGGAGATGAGTTGTTGCCAGGGGCAGTGGGGAGGGAGGGATAAATAAGCAGAACACATGGGATTTGTAGGGCAGTGAAACTATTCTGTATAATACTACAATGGTGGATGCATGTCATTGTACATTTGTCAAAACCATAGAATGGGCAATGTGGAGAATGAACCCTAATGCAAACAAACTGTGGACTTTGGATGATAACAATGTGTCAGTGTAGGCTCAATTGTAACAAATGGATCCCATGGTGCCAGATGTTGATAGTGGGAGAAGCTGTTCATATTTGGGATCAGGGGCTATATGGGAACTCTTTCAGCTCAATTTTGCTATGAACCTAAACGTACTCTAAAAAATAATGTTCATTAATATTTTTTTTTTATTTTATTTTTTGAGATGGAGTTTTGCTCTTGTCACCCAGGCTGGAGTGCGATGGTGCCATCTCAGCTCACTGCAACTCCTGCCTCCTGGGTTCAACCGATTCTCCTGCCTCAGCTTCCCGAGTAGCTGGGATTACAGGCACGCACCACCACGCCCAGCTAATTTTTTTGTATTTTAGTAGCAATGGGGTTTCACCATGTTGGCCAGGCTGATTTCAAACTCCTGACCTCACTCAGGTGATCCACCTGCCTCAGCCTCCCAAAGTGCTGGGATTACAGGCGTGAGCCACCACGCCTGGCCGTTACTTTTATTTTTAATGAATGAAATACACATTCTTACATTTCTATTTTAATTTCTAATATGTTAAACATCGATATAAATCCACATAAACAAAAGCTCTTTGAGAATCTCAAAAATTGTTCATGTATAAGGCAGTTCTGAACCCAAAAACTTTGACAACCACTGCATTAAAATTTTGTATGTGTTATGAACTGAATGTATCCCACAAAATTCTATGTTGAATCCCTAACCCCCAATGTGACAGTATTTGGTTATGGCCTTTGGGAGGTAATCAGGGTTTTAGGCATAGAGTGGGACCCTCATGATGAGATTCATGCCCTTATAAGATGAGACATCAGAGAATTTCCTCCTCCTGTCTTTCCCTGTACACAAAGAAAAGGTCCTGTGAGTACGCAGGGAGAAGGTAGCTGTTTACAAGCCAGGAAGAGAACACTCACCCTAATCTAACCAGGCTGACACCCTGGCCTTGACCACACCTCTGCTATGCTGCAGAGGTAATTATGGCAGGATAGGAAGAAGAGTAGGAAGAGTTCTCAAAAATTTACAGTATCACCAGGGAGGCTTACATGCAAGTAAAATGTTTGGATATGCCCGTATTTTTTTCCTTCTCTTATTACATACTATTCTGAATCTTGTCAGCCAGAGTCAGTACATGGCATGTCTTACTTCCTCCCTCTCCACAGTGGTCCATTTGCATTGTTTGGAGATAACCACAGTTTATTTAGCAGTTCTCTTACTAATGAACTTTTACAGTTTTTCAATCATTTTGCTGTTAAGTACTATATTAGTCAGCTCCCACTGCCATAACAAAATAGTGTAGACTGCATGGCTTAAACAACAGAAATTTATTTTCCTCATAGTTCTGGAGAACTACGATCTGGAGTCTCCCTCTGTTGCCTACTGTTGCCCACTGCACTCCAGCCTGGGCGACAGAAGGGACTCG
Organism: Homo sapiens; assembly: GCF_000001405.40. Classification (NCBI taxonomy): domain Eukaryota; kingdom Metazoa; phylum Chordata; class Mammalia; order Primates; family Hominidae; genus Homo; species Homo sapiens. The sequence goes on along the minus strand of NC_000008.11, from coordinate 39,108,316 downwards.
GTCACACACAAAAATAATTTTTTTAATTTATAAAAAAGACAGGATCTCTGTCGCCCAGGCTGGAGTCCAGTGGGGGCGATCTTGGCTCACTGCAGCCTCCACCTCCTGGACTCACGTGGTCCTCCTCCCTCAGCCTCCCGGGTAGCTGGGATCACAGGTGCGCACCACCACCTCGGAACATTTTTTTAAATTTTTTTGTAGAGATGGGGTCTTGCTGTGTTGCCCAAGCTGGTCTCCAACTCCGAGGTCAAACAATCAGCTCGCCTCAGTCTCTCAAAGCCCTGGGATTACAGGCGTGAGCCCTGGTGCTGGGCCCTGAGTCGCTTCTCCATCCGGACGGGGCGCCTAATCCCCTGGAAAAGGCCCCGTTGCCAGGGTGACAGGACCAAAGGGACCCAGACAGGGAGGGCCCCGGGCTTTGCAGGGAGTCGGGCCGCAGTGTGACGAGCGCCCGGACTAGTGTCAGGGTCTGGGCTGGCTCACCGGGTCTTGACGCCAGGAGGCCGCAGAGCCCGGCCAGCAGCAACCAGAGGCGGAACATGGTGCGGCTTCGGGGCTGCCAGCGGGAAGCCGTTGGGAAGTCGGGAATTGCCAGGGACGCGGGGACGCGCGGACGCCGGGGGCCGCTCCCCGCACGTTCATGGGACAGCGTTCTCCGGAGGCCCCGGAGACGGGGTGCTCTCGGTGTTTAGCGTCCGGAACACGAAGGGCCCGCAGCGTGCGCCCCGAGGCTAAAACATCCAGCTCCCTTCCCGGCGCACCCCAGCCGCGTGGTTGCTGGAGCCACTGACCACCCAGCGCCCTCTGTCGAGATCGCGCTCGTAGTCCTCCACTAACTTTTCGCTTTGTGTTGCTGGACCTTAAGAACTGACACACTTATTCACAGTCAGCGTGTGCTCTCCTGCACCAGACACTTCCCAGTTGCTTTTTTTTCTTTTTGGGACGGGGGTGCTCACTATTCTGCCCAGGCTGGTCTCGAACTCCTGGGTTCAAGTGATCCTCCCTCCTCAACTTCCTGAGTAGCTGGGATTACAGGCATCTGCCACCGTTCGGGGCTTCCTAGGTCCTTTCAAAAGCGAATGTGTAATACTTTCTGAATTAAAATCTATATACACACCTAAATATATATTCATATTTGCCAAACCTGTTTCTAATATTTTTTCAAAACTATTTAGCCAGATGTGTGAACATTCCAAAGAAGGGAAAAGTGAGCCGCTTTTCAATATGAAATGCCAGCTCTTCATATTTTTGAAGAGCGCCAGCTGCATTTTTTTCCCCACTGACGCTGCCCAAATGGACTTCACAACCAGGCTTTTTCCTCCAATCTGGTTCTCCGCAGGCCATTGGCTAAAACTCATGTGATGTCATTCTATTGTTCAGAAACTTCTCAGTGCAATAAATACTTATTTCATGTAGTGAAAGATTTAGAGATTCTTGCCCACAATTACAGTAATTACATTCCAGTAGAAAATTCTAGCCTCAGCATAGTAATTTTTCTGAACTCAGACCGGAACCTGCCACTTAATTTCTCCTATCCCGTGTTTTAGCAGCTCTGACTTTGGGTTTTTCCTAAACACTGCTTTACTCCCTGGAACTGCAATGCCTCCTCCTTCCCAGCCTCACACCTGGTCTCCATCTGTATGCATTAGCTTTTCATTCTTTTCAAATCCCAAAGAATGGATTAATTTCTCATACTACATAATAGGCCAACACATAAACTAAAAGGCCTCATGGGAACAGAGAAAAATCTCACTTGGGGAACTAAGACATTTAAAGTGAAGATGTGATTTTTATGGATGCACGCAATTTCAACAGGGCAATCTACACCTGAAATTAATAGCATGAACAAAAACAAGGCAACAGGCCAGGTGAGGTGGCTCACGCCTGTAATCCCAGCACTTAGGGAGGCCGAGGTGGTTGGATCACCAGAGGTCAGGAGTTTGAAACCAGCCTGGTCAACATGGTGAAACCCCGTTTCTACTAAAAAATACAAAAATTAGCCGGGCATGGTTGTGGGCGCCTGTAATCCCAGCACTTGGGGAGGCTGAGGAAGGAGAATCGCTTGAGCCCAGGAAGTGGAGGTTGCAGTGAGCCGAGATTGTGCCATTGCCCTCCAGCCTGGGTGACGAGCAAAACTCCATCTGGGGCAGGTGGAGGGGTGGGGTGGGGAACAAGGCAACAAAAAAATACACTGAGCTTGTATCTCAATAGGAACAGCCAATGCTAAGCTAACACTGCTTTTAGGCAGCTGCTGAGCCACAGCTAGTTTCACCTTGCTTTGTAACAAACAGAAGAGCAATTACAGTAAATGCTTCAACTCATCAATTAGTGGTAAGTATTCTGAATGAATTTCTGGCTCTTGTATTATTTTGTTCTTTCTTACTCCTCAACCTTTCTGGTTTGTATCTTTAATAGGGTTGATTTTGTATTATTCTTGTGTGTATGCCTCTCTTCATAACAGAGGATGCACTTCTAAAAGTCGGGAAACATATCCTATCCAGAACTTAGATATCACAGTACCTAATACAGTGCCTGAAAAATGGTAGGTTTTAGTAAACATTTATGAAATTTAATAAAATCTGATTTGAGTTTAGAAAACCCAAATTGTGCTTAACTCTATGGTTACAGACACAGGAGAAAGCGAGAATGCAATACTCTGAACAAGGTCAGTTTGACATACAGAGTCAAACAGAGATGTCAAACTTGCATATAATTTACCCTTATTTATTCTTTTTGAAGAAAGAAAGGATGTCCTTTAATATTTTCAAATTTTGAAGTGGCATCCATGACCAAGTAAGTAAAAAACATAAAGCATATTAAAAAATATATAAAAGAAGTTCAGATCCAATAGTCTTTTTAAAAACTTAACTAGTCAAATATCCAAAGAACTATTTAATTCCAAGTGTTAAGTTACATAGTTAATACATTACCAACTGTAAAATTTCAGTGATATGCATCACAATTGCAAAAACTGAGGCTACATGAGTGAACAGCACAAACGTTTGAGTCTTATATGAATTCATTTAGAGATTTAAAATGAAACGATGGACCTTCATTTGAGATTGCTCACAATTTTTAATATGTATACTTGATTGTTAAAATAACATGCTGTCTTCAGAAAACTGAAATTTTTGCCTTCTTCAAAACTAATCTGTTCTTTATTAACAAAAAGCCATTGTGCACACTTTGGCAAAAGTCTGAAAATTAGTGAGATAATATCTGTAAAAATTTGACTAGAATTTTTATCTAAAATTATAACTTTTTAATTAATGAGATTATAAATAGTTGAGTAGGAAGCTACTAGGAGACACAAAAGAGAATTTCAAGTATTTTATTTATTGTAAATGTTGTATTTGTATATGTATATATACACAAACCAAAAACACTTTTAAAAAACTAATGAAATTCAGTTAATAAACCTATTATTAAACTTTATTATGAAAGGTTATGAAAAAATTTTTAGTGCTTAAAATTTTACGATCCATACCATATCTGCCATAGTAAAAATTCATTTTTAACACAGCTAAGATGATAACTCATAGATACCACAGTAACTTTTTTGTAGGTATTTAAGAAAACCATTTCTTCCTTCTTTCTCCAGCCTAATTTCTATGAAAATATTAGTGTCTAATATTTTACATGACCCAGCACACCTTAGTAAATGTAAACATTCTAAATGATTTAATAGCAAGCTTTGAAAGTTCAGATTTTAAAGTGCTCATGAAATTCTCAAGTGGTTTTGTAAAAGTTCAATTGATTGAAGATTTTATAATTGCTCCTGCTTTATTATAGCCATGAATCAACATATTTGATTAGATCTATTAAATACTTCGTACCTTAAAGCTTATAATTTATTTAAAATAGTGCTATTGTGAACGAATGTCATGCTTTCACATGATTCATAATAGAAATTCTAATATTAAATTAATTTCTCTAAGAGTTATTACCTATAGTTGAAAGGTCATAAAAATGGAAGCGAGTAACTGCGTGAATACACACACACTCTTTTAGTATATTTTGTACTTTCAAAATAATATGACATCTTAATTGTGGTTCTTGTGCATTCTTTTGAAGACAATATTTGCTTATTCATGTAGTGAGTGACAGACAAGATTCTAGAGTATGATGATTATTAATTCGTGCATGATGAAAAATATTAGATATTATTGGCAGCTGATTAGTCAGTTTTCACAGGTATTAGATTATCACATGTTCAATGAGGAACTACATTAATGATAACTAAGGTAGAAAATTCAGAATAACACTTAAACACTTAATGACAAAACTCTTACACCAATACAGTTAATTTGAGAATCACTGCAATAACATGTTCAAAAAATCCATGATTAGTGCATTAACCTCACCGATGACTGAATAAGACTTATTCAATGATGGAAACGGAAATGTTATTGTAAATTCCCTGGCTTTACTGCATTTCCTTGTATTTCACAACTCTCACACTCAGTTTCTGTTTTTCTGTGTTAGTGAAGTCTGTTTTGTGGTGTTTTGTTTTCATTCATAGTTGCAACAGAAAGGCTTTTCAAGAAAACATCAAGAAAAAAAAAAAGTATTAGCTCAGTTCCCTGAAGACATTTGCAAAAAGAAGGTTAAAAAAATCAAGTGAGGGAACTATATAAAGGAGGTGCAGGAGCAGGACGGGCAGGAATTAAGTTTCCCTGAGATGATACTTTCGGTTGTGGTGGAGGTGGCCTGCGAGGGGAAAAGAGATAGTTAATAGAGTGTTTAGACTGGGTGAAATAATGCCATATTCATTACAAGCTCAACATAACACCATCCTCAACATCTCTGACAACAGGAAAGGGTACTGTACATTCTGAGATCAGTATTAGGGTGATATTCAATGGCTAAAAGGCTCCAATTAGAGTCTAAAATGGAATAACTACTTTAAATAATATTACTCCATAATCAACAATGTTGTATGAAGGTTCTAGTTTACATGTTTTTTCAAAAAAAAAAAAAGCACATGAAATGGTAAAGATAAACTGTAAAAGACAAGTGAGTACACTAAGTGATCAAGCACTTGCCTGTGCTGTTAGAATTTGAGGGCAGCAAATTACTGCTGGTGTAAACCTAGCTGTTTATAGCTCCCTCAACATGAGATTCACTCTGAGAATTAAAAGTGTTATGACTTCTATACCTGTCCATCTCAAACCTCATACTTCCACCTGTGGACACCCGCTCCTAACCTCATCATCCAATTCTAGTACACCTCTACTCCAGTAACACTAGAACACTACCTGGTGAATGTTTCCCTCACAATTTATATACTCTTTCCCTGATCCTCAGTCGGATTTCAATGTATTCTTACTGTATAATAAAGATTACATATGAAGATAGTCCTCAGAGTTGCAACGCAATTGTAATTTGAAAGACTTCTAGGGGATGGGAGGGTCACATGCATTTGCATTTTATGTGATACAAAATGAAGTAATAAATTATCTTCCTTCCTGATGATTTTAAGCCCATCCATTGAGTCACTTCAGTTCCTGTGTTTTTCAGTTCTAGAATTTGCATTGATTCTTTTAGTTTTTAGTTCTGTGCTGAAATTCTCAATCTTGACTTTTAATTCCATGACATCATAGTTATTTTAAAGTCCATGTCTATTAACTGGATACCATCTCAGTCTGTTTCTATGGTCTATTGTTTCTTGGTTTTAGTCATATTTTCTTTTCTTTTACACTTGGCTTTTTTTGATCATGAGCAAAACATAAGAAATTGTAGAAATCAGTTGAAGGTCTAGTTCACTCTTACTTCTGGGTCCCAGCACAGACCCTGAGATGTTTGCCAGGGTGCCTCCTCTTTGGCAGGATTCTAAATTTTGTCCCCTCTGCCCTGTGAGTTTGTAGAAAGCTCTCCTCAGCTTCCTAGCCTCTCTGTTGTCAGAACAGGTAAACTCATCTAGGAAGGAAAAGTGGCCCCCAAAGCTGGGATCATTTCTAGATTTCCTTCCTCTCCTGACCTTACCCCCACAATTCCTCACTTCTTTAGTCTTCTATGCCTTCAAACACATATTTTCTTATATTGTCCAGCTTTTTTAGCTGTTTTTGACGGGAAGGCTGTTCCAACCCATCTGGTTTCCTACTGCTGGTTATCTCAAAGGCCCTTGCTTCTAAATCGTATGCACATGAAAGCTGTGGCAGCAGAATCTGTCTTGCTCAAGCTTATTTAATATTTCATTTTGACCCTGTACCAATATGATAAAATTTATATAAAGTTATTTTAAAACCTTTCTGCAAATCATATTCTTGTAAACTGTTGACAATAAATACCTTTCACTAAATTACATTAAAATACAGGGGAAATTATTAGACATTAACCCCTAGGTTTTATTCTGGCCAAAAAATCTAAGCAAATTTTCTTCTGACCTTGATGGGAACTGCTGAGGTTGCTTGGCTGCATAGGTTGGTACTGCAAATCTGTTTGCATATATAGGCTAAAAAGAAAAAAAAAATAAGGTTATTACCACTATGTGCTCATAAATATGATTTCTAAATAGAAGAAATCTACATATTTAAAATCAATAAACAGACTACAGTTGAATATTCCTTATCAGAAATGCTTAGAACCAGAAGAGTTTCAAATTTCAGATTTTTTTTCCAATTTTGGAATATTTGCACGTACATAATCAGATATTTTGGGGACGGGACCCAAGTCTAAACAGAAAAGTCATTGATGTTTCATATAGGCCTCATACATATAACCTCAGGGTAATTTTATACAATATTTTAAATAATTTTGTGCATAAAATAATGTCTGTGTATGCTGAACCATCAGAAAGCAAAGGTGTTACTCTCTCAGCCCCTCATGTGGACAATCTGTGGTTGTTTGGCTCACCATCACTCCTGACTCTGAATTTATATACTACTGGTAAGCAATCATTTTCTTAGATTTATTCACATATAAGTACTAAACAGTGCATTCTGACTGCAACTCATCACATGAGGGCAGGTGTGGAAATTTCCACCTGTGGCATCATGTTGGTGCTCAGAAAGTTTTGGGTTTTGGAGCACTTTGGATTTTCAGATTAGGGGTGCTCAACCTGTATTTATTTATAATGCTGACAGTCAAAAATATTTTGCTTATTTGACATATCTTTACCACTGAATGTGGAATACTTAATTCTTTTAAGGTATTTTTTTAAATTCAGTAATACCAAAGTACTAAGATCTTGGTTCAAACCAACTGTATTAGTTAGAAGGTAACATATTTCCTATGTCAATGTATTTTAAATAAAATCTTCCAAAATGTATTGCCAAACCTATACAGTATCTAACTAATACTATAAAAACCACTCAGCTAGAATCCTCGGTTTTGGAATTCATTATATCCTTCCTTGATGAAGTAGTTGAAGTTTACAACAAAGTGAAACTGTATAACTTAGCCTCAAATAAGAAAGTAAAAGTAATATTTTTCACATATCACATTACACTATAAGACGTTAGGAATGATCAGATGGAATTACTAAATCAATGATGAAGTGACCTTGACCAAGATGTTCTTTACTATCTACTGTTAACTCCTAAAGTTCTATGACTGGCAGAGAATGCACAGTGGTGGTGAAGACCTTGAGCACCCTCTGGCTTCTACCATAGAACAGGTGGTCTATCATCTGCAATTTTTTTCCCCACAGAATGATTTATATGTACTGTGAAAATGGGTGAAAAATGCAACAAAATGTCTCCATCCCTTTCCACAAGCCATAGGAACAGCACTCTAAAGGGATCAAGTCCACTTTTGGAATGACAATGTGGTGAGGTGATGGGTATGGGAATTAGCTTCACTGAATCTTTTTTTTTTTTTTTTGAGACGGAGTCTGGCTCTGTCGCCCTGGCTGGAGTGCAGTGGCGCGATCTCAGCTCACTGCAAGCTCCGCCTCCCAGGTTCACACCATTCTCCTGCCTCAGCCTCCCGAGTAGCTGGGACTACAGGCACCCACCACCACGCCTGGCTAATTTTTTTTTCGTATTTTTAGTAGAGACGGGGTTTCACCATGTTAGCCAGGATGGTCTCCATCTCCTGACCTCATGATCCGCCCACCTCAGCCTCCCAAAGTGTTGGGATTACAAGTATGAGCCACCGCGCCCAGCCGACTGAATCTTACAACAAGGTATACATAGACCAAAACATCACATTGTGGCCAGGCGCCTGTAATCACAACACTTTGGAAGGCTGAGGCAGGTGGATCACATGAGGTCAGGAGTTCAAGACCAGCCTGGCCAACATGGCAAAACCCCGTCTCTACAAAAAAATCACCCGGGCATGATGGCGCACGCCTGTAATTCCAGCTACTCAGGAGGCTAAGGCAGAAGAATTGCTTGAACCCGAGAGGCAGTGGTTGCAATGAGCCGAGATCATGCCACTGCACTCCAGCCTGTGCAACACAGCGAGACTCCATCTCAAAAAAAAAAAAAAAAAAAAAACAAACACGATACCCCAAAATATACACAATTATTATTTGTCAATTAAATATAAATTAATGAAAACAAGCTAAAGATTACAAGCAAGCAAGGTGCTGGATATGTTAATTAGCTTGATTTAATCACTTCCACATTGTTTACATAAAACATCATGCTGTACCCCATAAATGTATACAACTATGATTTGCCAATTAAAACTAAAATTAATTTAAAAAAATTTTAATCTTTTTTGGCATTTATCTGACATATACTTTTAAATGTATGCAAAGATCTATTTACAAGGATGCTTGGTGCCACATTTTTTTATGGTATAAGACTGGAAACAACCTGTTTTTAAATTTCTGGTAAATTTATAAGAGGGAACAGCATGCGGTTATTAAAAACAATGAAGTACATGTTCACTTCTTGCAAATAGTGGACCAAATGTCCAGAGGAAACTTCCCAGTACAGTACACCTAAAATGCTGCCTAAAATATTTAAAAGGTATTTTGAAACACTTGGCTGGGTTGGTGGGAAGTAAGAAACATCTTACAGGCCAAAAAAAAACCAAGAACGTATGAAAGAGTCCAAACTACGGAGTTGCCTTTGTCCTGTGGAAATCTTCCTATCCTTGGCAGGTGGCAGTATGCGTTTTCAGTGACCCATAGATAAAGGAGGCAAAAGCTGGGGCCTGAGCTGGATGGAATGGTGAATACAAGGCCCTATACAAAGCCTAGACATATGAAGGGTGGTATCCCCATGGGTTAACTAGAAAAACAAAAACCTGCCTCAAGGAAGGCCCGTGGTGATACTGCCTTGGTGCTGATAGATGGGGAACTAAAAAAATAGTCTCCATGGAGAAATTCTTACCACACACCCATCCTCATAAGAGTTTGGGGACCAGAGTTCCTAACATTTGTGTGGCAAAAAAATATATATATATCAACAAAAATTTCAGTTTAAAGACATCAAAGATTGACCATGCCCCCAAGCATCTGGCAAAGAAAAATACTCTCGGTAGGAACCCACTATAATTCAGGATTCAAATATATTTATTTCCAATATAAAGTTCCAAAGAAGGTGAGTTTACAATCAACATCACAAGGGCACTAAGAAATGAGCCATCACGAGAGTCAGCAGAAATAACAAACCTGAGAACCCACCAAGGGCATACATATTAAAATGATCAGATACAGCACAAAAATTAGGTGTTTGAATATGCTTTAAGAAATAAAAGCTTTAAAACAGATAATAAAACTATAACAAACAATCACAAATAACCAGGCAGATTCGAAATAGAACTAAGTAGAACTACAGGAATTAAATGTACTATAAAACTAGTGAAATGAGATATTCAATGAGTTGGTTAAGTAGATTTGGCATAGTTTAGTAGAGACTTAGTGAATAGAAGGTAGATCCAATATAATCAGAATGGAATACACAAGAATATTGGAAATACCAAAGAGAGGTTAAGAAACAGAGATAGTAAAAAGTCTAACATGCAAGAAATGCATGAAAGAGTTAATTAGATAATGAGACAGAGGCAATAAAGAAATAATTGCTAAGAATTTGCTAGAACTGAAAAATGTAAATCAACTCCGGAAGTCTATTTACTGGCAAAGGAGTTTTTTTAAGTCCACATCTACACCAAATAGTCTAAAGATACAGAAGAAAAAGCCACATGGAAAAGATATCATCTACAGCATCAATTAGAGTAACAGACAATGTTTAAATTGCAACAAAGGATGTTAAAATATAGTCTATTTAAAGTTCTTAGGAAAAAAAAAAGCTGTCAGCCAAAAACATCCGGAAAAGACAAAAACTGACAGAATTTACTACCAAAATACCTTCGCTAAGGGAACTTCTAAAAGATACCCAGTTGAAGTAGATATATCAGAAAAATAAGCTGAGATTCAATAAGGTTGAAAGCAGACAATCAACACATGGGAAAATAGCTAAAGCTCACAGAGCACTTCACATGTGCCACAAGCACTTCTCAGTGCTCCACACATACGAATCCCTCTGATTTTCACAAAAGTCATTTGTGATTAGTACTATTATTATTTTACAGATGAGGAAACAAGTACAGAAAGAGTTTGAGAATCTTGCCTAAAGTCACAGCTTATAAAGTGACAAAGGCAGTACTCAAACTGGGCAGTTTGGCTCACAGTCCATCCTCTTAATTAATTTAATTGGTGTATGGCCTCACAAACCTAAACAAACATTTCATAATTCAATAGTCATATCTATATTGTAGAATTTTTTTAAAAAAAAGACTTAAAATACTAGACAACAGGCCAAGCTCAGTGGCTCAAGTTGTAATCCCAGCACTTTGGGAGGCCAGGGCGGGCGGATCACGAGGTCAGGAGTTCGAGACCAGCCTGGCCAATATGGTGAAACCCCATCTCTACTAAAAAATACAAAAATTAGCTGGGAGTAGTGGCGCATGCCTGTATTCCCAGCTACTCAGGAGGCTGAGGCAGGAGAATTGCTTGAACCTGGGAGGCGGAGGTTGCAATGAGCCGAGATGGCACCACTGCACTCCAGCCTGGGCAACCGAGAAAGACTCTGTCTCAAAAAAAAAAAAAAAGTCAGAGAGACCACAGTATCACAGACACCTGGGGGTGCTCTTGAGTAGAAACTAGCAAACCTCCACAATTAGGAGACTGCAGAAAAAAACCTCACAGAGGACACATCCCCAAAAAAGATTTGAGAGGCTACCAGAATCTCTAGCCAGGCTGAGTAGCGTAAGTCCTCCTTGTACAAAACAAGGCTGCAAAATCTGAGAAAGGCAGCTAATTCTTCAAATGCCAAAATCCCAATAATAAATGACAAATAATACAAAGAAATAGAAACATGGCACATTTAAAGAAACAAACTCAATCTCCAGAAACTGACCCTAAGGAAACAGATATATATAAATTACCAAAGAATTCAAAAATTACCATCATAATGATGTTCAAAAAATTAAAAGAGAATGCAGATGGACAACTAAAAGAAATCAGGAAAATGATGTATGAACAAAATGAGAATATCAACAAAGAGACAGGAACTATAAAGAAGAACCAAACAGCAATTCTGGAGCTGAAAACTACTGTAATGCTAAATTGAAAGATTCACTAAAAGGATTCAACAACAAACATGATGAGGCAGAAGAAAGCATCAGTGGACTCAAAGACTAGTATATTCAAAATCAAAGTGGCAGAGGAGCAAAAAAGGTGAAGAGAAAGGAAAATAAATAGCAACACAAAACCATATGAAAATATAAAACTCGATAATAATGGTAAGTGTATAGACAGAGAATCCTGTAGTACTGTAATGTGAGTGTGAAAATCACTTTTAAATCTTGTTAGAATGTTAAAAGCATAGCATAAAAAGTAATGAATCTGTGTTAATGATAAGCAATATAAAAAGAGGTAATTTTGTGTCATCAGTTACATAAAGTGGAAGAAGAAGAAATATAAAGGGGTAGAGTTTTTGTGATTGAAGTAATCAGTTTAAAATAGATTGCTATAAATTTATAAAATATTTTATGTAATTGCAAAGATATCACAATATATGTGCTATAGAATATGCACAAAGGAAAATGAGAATCAAAATATTACTACAAAAAAACAAAGAAAATGATTAATTTATTGTATATTTCAAAATAGCTAAAAGAGTAGAGTTGGAATGTTCCTAACATAGAAATGATAAATCCTTGAGGTGATGACTATCCCAATTACCCTGATTTGATCATTACACACTATATGCTTGTTTCAAAATATCACATGTACCCCATGTGATATGTACAACTATTATGTATCCATAATTGATTTTTTTAATTAAAAAGAAATACAAAAGAATGCAGCAAGGGAAGAAGGAAGGGTCAAAAACAAAATAGCAATAGTAAGTCCCCATCTATCAGTAATTCTTTTAAATATGAGTAAGTATTCTGTGCAAATGGAAACCAAGAGAACAAGGATAGCAATACTTACATCAGACAAAATGATGTAACATCAAAAACAATAAAAACAGAGATGAAAAAGTGCATTAATGGTAAAGGTGTCGATTCATCACAAGGATATAACAACTGTAAATACATATGCAGCCAATTTAGAGCACCTAAATATATAAAGCGAATATTAATTAATCTGGAGAGAGAGCTAAATAGCAACCCAATACTACTAGGAAACTTCAATACTTCACTTTCAACAACAGATAGGTCATCCAGACAACAAATCAGTAAGAAAACATTTGGCTCAAACTAGACTTTAAACAAAACAGATCTAATAGACACATTCCATCCAACAAAAGCAGAATACACATTCTTCTCAAACGCACACAGAACATTCTCCAGGACAAATAATATGTTAAACTGCAAAACAAGCCTTAACAAATTTTAAAAGACTGACATCAAGTATGTTTTCCAACTACAATATTAGGACTCAAAATCAATAACTGAAGAAATTTAGGAAAGTCACAAATACATGAAAATTAAACAACATGCTCCTAAACAATCACTTGGTCAATGACAGATAAAAAGAAATATTTTAAAATATAGCTGACACTTAAGCAACACGGGTTTGAACTGCACAGGTACATCTATATGCAGATATTTTTCAACCAAACACAGATTGAAAATACAGTATTCATGACCCACATATACAGAGGGCCAACTTTTCCTATATGTGGGTTCTACAGGGCCAACAGAATTAATTGAGTATAGGCAGATTGGGCTATATGTAGGGGTCCTGGAACCAATCCCCAATGTGTACCAAGAAACAACTATATCTTGAGACAACAAAAATAGAAACACAACATAACAAAATGTATGCAACACAGAAAAAGCAATTCTAAGGGGGAAGTTTATAGCAAGTCTATACCAATAAGTGCCTACATTTTTTAAAAAATCTCAAATAACCTAATGTTACACCTCAAGACCTAGAAAAAGAGGAACAATCTGAGCCTAAAGTTAGTAGAAGAAAGGGAATAGTGAAGTTCAGAGCAAAAATGAATGAAATACTGGAAAAATAGTATTAATAGAATCAATAAAACTAAGAGTTGGTTTTTTGAAAAGATAAATAAAATTAACACACCATTAAGTAGACTAAGAAAAAAAGAAAGAGGAATCAAAATCAGAAATGAAAGAGAAGACATTACAGCTGATACCACAGAAATAGAAAGTTTTATAAGAGACTGCTATGAACAATCATACACCAACAAATTGAACCTAGAAAAAAATAAATTCCTAGAAACATACAACCTATCCAGACTGAATCAAGACAAAATAAAAAATCTGAAAAGATCAATAATAAGTAAGGAGATTGAATTAGTAACTTTAAAAAGTCTCCCATTAAAGAAACTCAGGACCTGATAAAGTCACAGATGAATTCTACCAAACATTTAAAGAAGAACTAATGCAATCCTTCTCAAACTCTTCCCAACACTTGAAGAGGAAGGAATATTTCCAAACTCATTTTACAAGGCCAGCATTACCCTGAAACCAAAGCCAGACAAGGACACCACAAGAAAAGAAAATTACAGGCCAATATCCTTTATGAACACAGATGCAAAAATCTTCAACAAAATACTAGCAAACTGAATTCAGCAGCACATAAAAGGATATTTCCCAATGACCAAGTGGGATTTATTCTGGGGATGCGAGGATGGTTTAACATATTCAAATCAATAAATAACAACATTAACAAACAAAAAACAGAAATGAAGAACATAGACTAACAAAAACCATGTGATCATTTTAAGAAATGAGGGAAAAGCATTTGACAAATTTCAACATTCTTTCATGATAAAAACTCTCAACAAATTTGTATAGAAAGAACAAACTGGGCCAGGCATGGTGGCTCACGCCTGTAATCCCAGCACTTTGGGAGGCCGAGGCAGGTGGATCACCTGAGGTCCGGAGTTCAAGACCAGCCTGGCCAATATGGCAAAACCCTGTCTCTCTACTAAAAATATAAAAATTAGCTGGGCAGGGTGGCACATGCCTGTAATCCCAGCTACTCAGGAGGCTGAGGCAGGAGAATCACTTGAACCTGTGAGAAAGAGGTTGCAGTAAGCCGAGATCGTGCCACTGCACTGCAGCCTGGGTGACAGAGCGAGACTCTATCTCAAAAACAAAGAAAAAGAAAGAAAGAAATAATGAACCTCAGAACAATAAAGGCTGTACATCACACGCCCACAGCTAACTTCATACTGAACAATGAAAAACTGAAAGCTTTTCCTCTAAGATCAGGAATAAGACAAGGATGTCCACTCCTACCACTTCTACTCAATATAGTACTAGAAGTTCTAACCAGAGCAGTTAGGCAAGAAAAAGAAATAAAAGACATCCAAATTGGAAAGGAAGAAGTAAAACTGTCCTTGTTTGCAGATGACATGGTCTTTTATATAGAAAACCCTAAAGAGTCAACCAAAAAACTGTTAGAACTAATGAATTCACTAAAGTTGCATAATACAAAATCAACATATGAAAATCACTAGTATTTCTATACACTACAACAAGCTATCTGAAAAAGAAATCCAGAAAAAAAATTCCATTTAGAATGACATCAAAAATACATACATAAATAATATAGGAATAAATTTAACCACAAAAAATAAGTATCTGTACAAGGAAATCTATGAAACATTGATGAAAGGAATTGAAGACATAAATAAATGGAAAGATATCCCATGCTCACTGACTGGAAGAGTTAATATTAAAATAACCACAGCAAACTACAGATTCAATGCAATATCTATTAATATTCCAATGACAATTTTTGTAACAATAGAAAAAATACTAAAATTCATATGGAACCACAAAAGACCCAGAATCACTAAACCAATCTTGAGCAAAAAGAACAAAGCTAGAAGCATCACATTACCAAATTTCAAAATATACTGCAAAGCTATACTAATTAAAATGGCATACTACTGGCATAAAACAGACATAAAGACAAATGGAACAGAATAGAGAACCCCAAATCCACAACTTTATGGTCAGCTAATCTTCAACGAAGGTGCCAAGAATACACAATGAAGAAGGGACAGTCACTTCAATTAATAGTGTTGGGACAACTTCATATCCACATGAAGAAAAATGAAAATGAACTGGTATTTCATACCATATACAAAAATCAACTCAAACTGGATTAAAGATTTAAACATAAGACCTGAAACTATAAAACTACTAAAAGAAAACATAGGTAAATATTCTTAGGAGTACTGCACTGTACATGTAAAAATTGTTAAGATGGTAAATATTAGTGGGTTTTTTTTTTACCACTACTGTTAAATTTACAAAAAAATCTTGAAAACAATGGTTAAAATGGCAAATTTTATATATATTTTGCCAAAACCAAATAAGAAATATATACATATATGGCAATGATGAAGAAGAGTATACAGATAATTTTGAACTAGCATGCATATGGCCTTTGTGGCCATCCTGTATACATAACAACATGGAAAAATCTCCAAGATACATGGTTAAGAGGAGAAAGGGCCTAACGATTTTTGTCTCCTTTTTATAAAGATAAAGGGGGTGGAATAGGGAGATTGTGTGTGTGTGTGTGTGTGTGTGTATAAATATATTAAAAAATGAAGGATTTCTAATCATTTTCAACAGTGAAAATGAATGAATCACAGCTATATCTATCGATAGAGATAAATCACAAAGTGACATTAAGGGGAAAAACAGGTTGCAGATATATGTGCAAATTATCAAATAAAACGTTCTTAAAAGTTTTAAAACATTAAAAAATTACATATTGCTTAGGGATACATGCAGATCAATAAAAGTATATCATGATCTAAACACTCAATAAAAGTATATCATGATCTAAACACTCCCTAATACACTTGCAGAACAGTGACTATCAGTCCTACAGCTTAGACAATTAGGCCGATCCAAGAGCTCAGCACCAGGTCTTTGGTAACATCCCATAGGGAGATGGAGACAGGTATTGAAAATAGGAAAAGAGCAGACACAGAAAAAAGCAGTGATAGCATACGTCCCATGTCATTTCCCAATCCTGGTTGCTAGGCAAGGCATTCCTAATGTCCAGCTGTCTTTTTCTGTGTCCTCTGAGCCAAGGACTCCGCTGGTTTTCCTTTAAAGAACTCAGGGGGCAGGGCACAGTGGCTCATACCTGTAATCCCAGCACTTTGGGAGGCCAAGGCGGGTGGATCACTTGAGGTCAGGAGTTCAAGACCAGCCTGGCCAATGCGGTGAGACCCCGTCTCTATGAAAAATACAAAAATTAGCCAGGCGTGGTGGTACACACCTGTAATCCCAGCTACTCGGGAGGCTGAGGCACGAAATCATTTGAAACTGGGAGGCAGAGGTTGCAATGAGACGCAATTGTGCCACAGTACTCCACCCCGGGCAACAGAGCAAGGCTCTGTCTCGAAAACAAAAACAAAAAACTCAGGGACCACCTACAATACTCTTGAATTCTTAAGAAGGTATCTATGTTTCTAGCTATAGCTATATAACTGTGTTTTTAATCCTTAAGCATTTGATCCTTTAATACAGTAAAGAAAAATAATTTTTCATTTTATACTTACAACTTCTCTGGGAGGTGTCACTGGAGAAACATGTCGAGGAACACTCCCCGGCTGTCTAGAAGGGTTTGCTTGATTTTTGCCATCTGACCTGAAAGATACAATTACTTTTGATCTAAATTAAGATAAAAACATTTCTACATGAAATATTACACACATTTTGCATTTTCCCAAATACAGAATAATGATGTTGGTAGTGGTGGGGATGATAATCATGATACGGTTTAAATTTTTAGGGCATTTTAACAGCTTTCACGTATTTTTAATCCTTATGGTATTAGAAAGCATTACTAACCACATTTTATAATTAAACTGAAATTTTAAGAAATTGTGAAATTTGGTCAATTAGGCCAATGTTCCCTAACTTTTCTCAAGTCTTCCTAAAATCAGAGAAGAGTAAAAGCATATTCTCAGGTTGCCAAGTAGTCATTTTAAAAATTAGGAAATCCAAGGGTAGTGAATGGATTGGCTGGAAAGGTAATAGGTAAGTTTTAGACATGCTGAAGTGACAGCAAATCAGTGCAGTGGAGATGTATGAAAGATAGCTGTAGTTATGGAACTCAAACTTCAAAAATGCAGATGGGGGAGTTATTTGCATAGACTGGTCAGTTGGAAGTATGATACGAAGTATCTACTTAGTCCTCTATCAGAAATTGGTGTTAAGCAAAATGAACCCTGAGGGTCACTTTCAGCAGCCTAAAGGCTGACCAACATAAGCCTTTCTCCTCCCCATTAAAAGAGGTGGCTTGGTCACCACCACCTTTCAACCCATGCTAATCATGTCAAAAGGTCAGAGAAATAACTTAGAACCCTATTTTAGAGGATTACCAATCTCTGGTGATATGACTATCAGCATTAATACTTTATAAATTATTTAATATAGGCTGAGCGTGGAGGCTCACTCCAGTAATCCCTGCACTTTGGCAGGCTGAGGCAGATGGATGGCTTCAAAAAGTTCAAGACCAGCCCGGGCAACATGGCGAAACCCCATCTCTACAAAAAAATATAAAAATTAACTGGGTGTGGTGGTGTGCCTGTAATCCCAACTACTTGGAAGGCTGAGGCAGGGGGAATCACCTGAGCCCAGGGAAGTCGAGATTCTGTCTCAGAAAATGTATGTATATATTTAATATAGGAATTAAAAGAAAAAAATCTAAGTACTCATATGTTTGTGATCTCTTCTTTCTGAAGTAGCTTCTCCACAGTTGATCCCTCTTGATGAAGATAAAAATAGCACAGACAATAAGGGGAACAATTAGGAAGAAGAAGACCAGAAGTCCGTCCCTCAATGCAGTATTCATTTCTAGAGAGAAGAATTTTACATCAACAGTCACCAAACTCATACTAGGCAGAAAATACTAGATGATTATAAACACTTTACATTAATTTTCACATTACTCAAAAATCAAACTGATATTAATTGAATATATTGAGAAGTCTTCCACAAAGTTCATTCCTGTCCGCTTTACTTCTGCCTTCACAAAAATAACCACTTTTATTAGTTTCTTCTGTAACCTTACAGTATTTCTTCGAGCAAACAATCAAGAACAAAATACGTTTCTACTGTCAACACTTTCTTACACAAAAGGTAGCATACTATTTATATACCATTTGGTGCATCAGTTTTTTTCCACTTATCTGTACATAGTGGACCTCCTCGTTTTCCATACAGCTATATGAAACTCCATTGTGAAGATGTTCTAGAGTTTATTTAACTTGTACCCTACTGATAAACACTTATATTTTTCCAATCTTTTGCTACTACCAAAAAAACTGCTATAATGAATAACCTTGCACATATGTTGTATCATATTAGTGCAGGTATAATAACTACAGAATAATTTCCCTAAAGCAGAAATGCTGTATCAATAAATAAGTGCATTCATCATTTCTTTTAGGTATTGTCAAATTGTCTTTCAATAGTAATGGTTACAATTTATAAGAATATTACAAGCAATATATAAGAATTCCCCATAGCCTCACCCACAGAGCCAAATTTCCGGATTTTTGCCAACCAGGCAGGTGAAAAATTTTCTCTTATAGAATTTTAATTTACATTTTTTTATACTATGAGTTGATAATTTTTTTTTCTTTTCTTTTCCCGAGATGGAGTCTCACCCTGTTGCCCAGGCTAGTGCAATGGCACGATCTCCACTCACTGCAACCTCTGCCTCCTGGGTTCAAGCGATTCTGCTGCCTCCACCTCCCGAGTAGCTGGGATTACAGGTATGCGCCACCACGCCCAGCTAATTTTTTTGTATTATTAGTAGAGACAGGTTTCACCATGTTGGCCAGGATGGTCTCCAACTCCTGACCTCATGATCTGCCCGCCTCGGCCTCCCTAAGTGCTGGGATTACAGGCGTGAGCCACCGTGCCTGGCCTCACTTTTTTCTTAAGGAAACATTATTTATTTTTTTCTGCTCAGTCCTTTGACTGTTTTTCTACTGGACTCTTGCTTTTTTCTTCTTAATTTCTAAAAGTTCTTTATATATTAGAGAGATTAGCTTTGTCCATGATACAAGTTGGAAATATTTTCCCCATTTTAACCTATGGCACTATGCTTTTCTCCACGGAAAAGTTTATTATTTTTGTATAGTTGAATTTATCAATCTTATTTTTACGCCTTCTAGATTTTAAGTTTCATTAGAACTTTTACAAATTCTTTAAGTATTTTATCTGTTCTGTGTTCTTTTGAGAAACAATATAGTAGATATAAACGGGAGTGGTAAACTGATTCATAATTTTAAGTTTGTAAAAGAACCAGAAATTTCTGTAAAAAGTTGTATAAAACTGGCCGGGCGCAGTGGCTCACACCTGTAATCCCAGCGCTTTGGGAGGCCGAGGCAGGCGGATCACAAGGTCAGGAGATCGAGACCATCCTGGCTAACATGGTGAAGCCCCGTCTCTACTAAAAATACAAAAAAAAATTAGCTGGGCGTGGTGGCAGGCGCCTGTAGTCCCAGCCACTCGGGAGGCTGAGGCAGGAGAATGGCATGAACCCGGGAGGCGGAGCCGAGATTGCACCACTGCACTCCAGCGTGGGCAACAGAGCGAGACTCCATCTCAAAAAAAAAAAAAGTTGTATAAAACTATATGAAACAATATTTATCCCAACTGAAAATCAAAATACAGTTGGCCCTGGAACAATGTGGGTTTGAACTGTGCAGGTCCACTTATATGCAGGCTATCTTGTGTTTCTGCCACCCCTGAGACCAACCTCTCCTCTTCCTCCTCCTCCTCAGCCTACTCTACAGGAAGATGATGAGGATGAAGGTCTTTATGATAATCTACTTCCACTTAATGAATAGTATATATATTTTCTCTTATGATTTTCTTAATAAATTTGCTTTTCTCTAGCTTGCTTTATTATAATAATACAGTATATAATACATATAACAGACAAAATCTATGGTAATCAACTGTTTATGTTATTGGTAAGTCTTCCAGTCAACAGCAGACTATTCGTAGTTAAGTTTTGGGGAAGCCAAAAGTTACACATGGGTTTTCAACTATGCAGGGAGTTGGAGCCCCTAACCTTTGCATTGTTCAACGGTCAACTGTATAAAAAATTAAAGCAAGCTTCATATATCATTTTATACTTACTAATGAGTACACAAAATTTAAATTAAAGCATTCAACACTGGCAAGATTATTTTGAAACTGATACCTTCGCACTGTTAGTGGCATTACACAAATGTATCATTTATTAGGAATTTTTACTCCTAAAAGAACCATAAAAAGGATTATTCTCTTCAAACTAATCTCATTACTGGCAATTGATTCTTCAATTGGAAAAATGCATACACATTAACATGTACACTACAATGTTAACAGTGAGTTATCAAAACCTTAGAAACAATCTAAATGTCAAATAATTAGAAAACAGCTAAGTGAAGTTATAGCACATCCACTGGATGAAATGATACACAGCCATTAAAATCCATAGTTCTGACTTCCAGTTATAGCCAAGGTGGAATAACAGGGACCAGATTTACTCTGCCAGCTAAAATAACCAGAAAACCAGACATAATATATGAAACAACAGTTTTCAAGACACTGGACATCAGGCAACAAAGAGCAATGATCCCTGAGAGGCAGAAAAAAAAAATGTGAGCCTTAGAATTGTCCAAGGTTAGTGCCTAAAGAAAGTTAACAGACACTCGGGTGTGGGCACCAAAGCAAAACCCAGTGGTCTCCCTCAGTTAAAGAGATGGAGCTGGTATTCTGAAGAGGGCAAGGCAGCTACAGTTCCTAGGCAAAGTACCAAAGGGAAGAGAGCTACAGAGAAAAAGCTGAAAGATCTGCATCGGTGCTGATGGATATATGCATGTAAGGAGACCACATGAAGCTGGAGAAAGAACCATGTGAAAAGATTGGTGGAAATAAGCCCCACAGCTCACACAGGACTAGGAAGAGCACTTGCTCCTATAATTCAGTGGGAAATCTCATAATTAACGTGGTACTAAGCAGGATAAACAGAAGTGGTTTTGCCTCAGTAATGAAGCAGAATCAGCCCTAGACTAAATGCTATTCAGGTCCTGCCTTAAAAGCTTAAAAGCAAGACCCAGAAGGATCAAACTATGTCGACGTAACTCAAACATACTAGTACAAACCTCATCAATAGAAATCCAAAAATATCCAATAACCCACAAAGTAGGATTTAAAACTTCTGGCATCTAATAAAAATGTATAAGGCCTACAAAAATACAGAAAATAAAAGAGGGAAAAATATCAAAACTGAGAAATTACCCATATGACAGAATTAGTAGACAAGGACATTAGCAGTTATTACAACTGTATTCTATTTGTTCAAAAAAGTAAAGATTGAGCATCTTATGTAGAGTCATGAAAGATATATAAAAGAAACAAATGGAACTTCCAGAAATAAAAACTACAATGTCTAAAATGAAAAACACACTAGATCAAGTTAATGGCAAATTAGACTTCACACAAGAAATGTAAACTTGAAGAGTAACAGAAGTTACTCAAAATTAAACATGGAGAATAAGGAATAATTTTTAAAAATCAACAGCCAGCCAGGCATGCTGGCTCACACTTATAATCCCAGAACTTTGGGAGGCTGAGGTGGGTGAATCATTTGAGGCCAGGACTTTGAGACCAGCCTGGCCAACAGCGTAAAACCCTGTCTCTACTAAAAATACAAAAGTTAGCCAGGCGTGGTGGCACACGCCTGTAGTCCCAGCTACTCAGGAGGCTGAGGCATAAGAATTGCTTGAACCCCGGAGGCAGAGATTGCCATGAGCCAAGATCATACCACTGCACTCCAGCCTGGGTGATAGAGCAAGACTCTGTCTCAAAAAAAGTAAAGTTAAATTAAAATTTAAGAAAAAAAAACAAAAATAAAAAATCAACAGCCAATCAGTGACATGTGAAATAACACCAAGCAGCCAAATATACATAAAATTGGAGGACCTGGATGAGGAGAAAGAGGAAGACAGAAAAAAATATTCGAAGAAACGATGGCCAAAAATTTTCCAAATTTGAAGAAAACTATAAAAGCACAGATCCAAAAAGCTCAAAAAATCCCAACTACACCAAGGCACAATATAAAAACCAGAGATAAAGAGCAAAACATTACAAGTGACCAGAGATTAGAAAAAGACATATACGGAAGACATTATATACAAAGAAAAGGATGATAGCAGATTTTTCAGGAAAAACAATGCAAGTCAGAAGACAAGGAATATCCTTAGAAGTAAAACGGGAGGAAAACTATCACCCAAAATCCTTGCCCAGTTAAATTATTATTCAAGCAGCAAGGCAAATTAAAGACTTTTTCAGACATACAAAAGCTAAAAATATTTGTCACTAGCACACTGGTATTATAAGAAATGTAAAAGGAAATCCTTCAAGCAGAAATTAAATCAGATTGAAATGCAAATTTACATAAATGAAAAACACCAGAAATGGTAATTATATGGGTAAATATAAAGACTTTTTCTACCATTAAGTCTCTGAAAGATAATCAACTGTTCAAAGCAAAATGAGTAACAATGAATTGTGGGATTTATAACATTAGTAGAAGTAAAACATGTGACAACAATGGCACAAAATGAGAGAAATGGAAATATACTGAAGTGTTACAATATCACTACAAGGAGACTGATGGAAAATATCAAGACAGTAAATTTAAACATAAACACATCAATAGTCAAGTTAAATATAAATTATCGAAACAACTTAATTGAAAGACAGAGAATGGCAGATTAGATAAAAAGCAAGATCCAACTATATGTACTAATTACTATAGCATGATATAAAGAAATTAAAAGTAAAAGGATGGGAAAAGATTTTCCATGCTGACTAATTAATAGGAATCTGGAGTAGCTATATTAACAATATCTCATTGCAGGGCAGAGAATATTACTAGGGAAAAAGAAGGCTATTTCATAAGGATAAAGAGTCAATTTACAAAGAGGATAGAATAATTCTAAGTGTTTATGTACCTAATAACAGAACATCATAATAAATAAAGCAAAAATTGATAGAACTATTAAGAGAAATAGGCAAATTGGCAGTTATAGCCAAAGAACTCAATATTCCTCTCAATAACTGACAGAGTAAGTAGACCAGAAAATCAGTAAGGATATGAAAGATCCGACTACCTATTAACTGACATGAACTAATAACTTACAGAATATTCCACCTAAGAATAGTAGAATACGCATTCTTTTCAAGTGTACACAGAACTTTTACTAAGATAAACCACATTCTGGGCTACAAGACAAGTTTAAAAAAAAAAAAGGATTCAAGTCATACACAATATGTTCTCTTGCTACAGTAAAATTTAAATTAGTAACATTAAGATAACTAAAAAATCCACAGGTATTTCAAAAGAAATAGCACATATCTAAATAACCTGTAAGTCAAAGAAAAAAAAAGCATATTAGAAGGTATTCAGAACTGAATGAACATGGAGGTATAACATGTCAAAATTTCTGAATTAAAGGAAAACTGATAGCAATAAAATGTCTGTATCAGAAAAAAAAAAAAAGATGACCTCATCCTCCACCTTAAGAAACTAGAAAAAGAACAAATGAAACCCAAAGTAAGCAGACTAAGAGAAAATATATACAAGGCACATATTTCATAAAGAACTTGAATACTTGAATCAGTGACATGCAAAGAACTTTCAAAACTCATTAAGACAATCCATTAAAAACTGGAAAAAAGATTTAAACAGACACATAACCAAAGAAGATATGTAGATGGCAAATAAGTACAAGAAAAGATGCTCAACATCATTAGTAATTAGAGAAATGCAAATTAAAACCACACTGAAATACCACTACATACCTACTGGAATGGCTAAAAATTAAAAAGACTGACAATAGCAACTGTTAGAGAGGATGTGGGGAAATTGGGGGAATTCTCTCATATACAGCTAGTAAGGATGTAAACTGGTATAGCCACGTTGGGAAACAGTTTGGCAGTTTCTTTAAAAGCTTAACATACACCTACTATATGACTAGTCATTCTAGCTGGTAGTTACCCAAGAGAAAAAAAGCATATGATGTCACTAGAAAGATACCGATAAACTGGGAGCTCATGGTCTATCAGGGAATTTTAAAAAGCAAATCAGTAATTAGTATAGCAATTAGTGCTAACAGATAGTGCTAACAGTACTAGAAAAGCAATAGAAGGAAATGATAATTTAGATTTAAGCAGCCAGGGGAAACTTTCTTTAGAAAATGAGGTATAATCTGAAACCTAAATAGCAATTAGCCAAGGGCCAACAATGTGAAAATAATACGGTATGAAAGCCCACAGGTAAAAGATAGTAGCCTAGTACAGGAAATCAAAGAAGTTACAATATGTCTTCAACATAGTGAAATGAGGCTTGAAAGGCAAGCTAGGGGCAAGTCATGCAGGGCATTTAACCCATGTTAAGGAGTTGTGGACTTCATTCTAATAGCAATGCAGACGCACTGAATTAAAGCAAGACGCTGACAAAATCAAAACTGAATTCTTGTAGGAAAACACTGAAACTGTAATGTAGAGTGAAACATGGATTATAGGAAGCAAGATGAAAAATAGGGAGCCTACATAAGAGGCTATGATGTATGTCCAGGCAAGAAATTGAAAGTAATAAATGGGGATGAGAAAAATGGAAACAGTCACAAGGAATTTAGGAGGCTGAATCAACATAATTAAATGTATAACTGATGTGGGAAGTGAGGGAGAGGTACGAGGATGCCCAATTTATGCCTTGGGCCACTGGGAGATCACACTAATTTTCTTCTATATTACTTGCCATTGTATGTAGGTCCACTGTCCACACTTCCTCCGTATCCTTTAGTCTCACAATTTGGGGGAGCCCAGCCATTTTCACAGTGACAATTCTTATTGCTATTACATACCTTCAAAACAATCAAAATACCACTTTTGTTAATTGTGAATGTTGCTCTATATCATCAACTCAAGAATGGAAACCAAGAGAAAGGACTAAATTCATACAAGCTTACTGACACTGTTTAAGAATGAAAATTTTATCAGGAATCTAAATTCCCCAACATCTGAAAATCCTGGGAACTCTCATCTAGTCCTGAGATTTCTCATTATTTAGCACTACTTTCAGGAACAAGCCAAAAGAAAACATTACCTACCCCATGTCCATGACACTTTTTCTGAACATCACAGTCATAATTCAGAACAGAAGCATCTACACACTGGAAGTTTCTACAGATCTGAAAAAAAAAAAAATGAACTAAGTAAAGAAAGATTGAGCACAGTCATTAAAAAGTACCCAGAAAAAAGACCTGGGTACAGATTATTTCATTGCAGAATTCTTTCAAACTTTCAAGGAACCATTAATTCCCATATTATATTTTTAAAAATGCAGAAAAATAAGTGGCATTAATTAATTGATACAAAATTAATTATCAAAAAACACAAAGATGACATAAAGACCAAAAACAAAGATAAAACTATTATCTATCCTTCCATGTGAATATTGATGTGAAGATCCTAAATAAAATATTCACAAATAGACTTTTTCAAATCAAAAGTAACTAGATAGAGTTAACCCCAGGACTACAAGAAAGTTTCAAGGATAGAAGGTCTATTTCTATTACACCTCTCATAAAGTGTTGTTACTATGACAGATATCAAAAGGATAATATTTAAAACTCATTTTAATTTTTAAAATTCTTTCAAAAATAAAAGGGTACTTTGTTGACAAGATAAAATCTGTTTTCTAGTACCATGATTAGATATTTCTATTAAAAGCACTGTTGAAAATAAGTTATAATCTTACATGGTTCAAGAAATTCTAGTTCATATGATGAGATATGAAACAGAAATGAATCCTAGCTACTGAGAGATAAAAACCATTACCTCAGAAAAAAATATTAAACCTAAGATCTAAAGAAATCAGCTCAACACATTTTAGAAATTTTTTAGTTGACATCTTTGTGAAAACTGCTCTGTTGTGATGTTAGAGGAAAAAAAGAAGACTAACGTTTTAAAAGACTGTTGAGTGCTATTTTAAAATTTTATTAGGTAACTAACCAACTGATCTTGTGTACAAGATCAGAATATTTAAATGCTCAAATGAAATAAAGAACAATTAGAGAACAAACCTACAACGAAATATCGATAGCCTTACCACTCTAAAAAATACACAGGTTTAAACAGAATTGTACTTTTAAAGTCAAAAGATCTCCAAACACTGTTTCCTCCAATTTTCCATTAATTTTTAAATAGGACATATATGATTTAAAATTCCAAAATTACAGAAGATTCTACAGTAAGTCACTCCTCATGTGTCCTCTAGCCATGCACTACTCCTGAATAAAGATTTCAAAATACTTTTTTCTTACATCCGCAAGTCTTTAGAGGAGATATTTACCAAGAGTTTCCCTACCAGTTAAAAGAAGATTTTCCTGTCAATAATTGATTCATAGCGGACACCTGAAGTGTTAAATAAGATGAAATGTGTTAATAACTGGCAGATTTACTTTAAGGGGCAGGAAAATTCCAAGTCCTCCAGAGAAAGGGTGTTCTGATTGGCAGTGTTTACCTTGTGGAATGGGAAAAATCAAACTGAAAGGAATACACCCAAAAACTCTCACAGTGGGGACCGGGTGCAGTGGCTCACGCCTGTAATCCCAGCACTTTGGGAGGCCGAGGTGGGTGAATCACTTGAGGCCAGGAGTTCAAGACCAGCCTGGCCAACATGGTGAAACCCCCATCTCCACTAAAATCACAAAAATTAGCCGGGCATGGTGGTGCAAGCCTGTAATTCCAGCTACCTGGGAGGCAGCAGAATCGTTTGAACCCAGGAGGCAGAGGCTGCAGTGAGCCAAGATCTGCACTCTACTGCACTCCAGCCTGGGTCAAAGAGCGAGACCCTGCCTCAAAAAAAAAAAAAAAAAAAACTCTCACAGTGGGAAGGTAAGACCATCCTCTCACATACTACTACCACTCCCCCTACCACCCATGGCCACCACCAACAACCACCACGCAGCAAGTAGAGCAAACTTGACTATAGGACTTCTGGTTTACTGATTTCAGGATGCAAGTGGGGAGCAAAATTGAACTACCTGGGACAATAAAAATGAAGGTGAGGAGTTCTTATTTTCCACTTTTCCCCCTACCCCACGTTTAGCTTGTCCTGGAAATAAATGTTGAATAAATATATAAAGAATACAGATCTGAAGAAGTACCAAGTTGTCAGTCTGCTCAAACTGTCCAGTCTAGGCTTTGGTACATACCAGAAGGGACAGGATCCTATCTGCCGTGTGAAAACTTGGGTGTTAGACTCATAGATTAAACCAACAGTTACAAAGTTACAGCTGTACAGAACGTGTGGTATATGGTCTCAACGGCATGTCAGTTTGGGTCAAGGTGTATCAGTCCAGGTACACACACCAACCACTTGCTATCCTTTCTTGTACATAAATATTATTGTCATAGCTAGAAAACTATGCAGTTAGCAATAAAATCCAGAAAGACAAAAGGTCTTAAAAATACATTGATATATGTTAATAACAACCTGGAATCTAAAGCCAATATTTTTCCTACCAAGTAAAAACTGGGACATGGGGGTTTGGAAGTAATAGTGGTATAGCTTACACTGCAACAATCAGTAGATACTATTTTTAATCACGACAACTTTGAGAAAAATATATTCATTTTTTTGTTATTAAGTAAACAAGCAGAATAGAAAGACATACAACTACCAAAGTGTATGTGCACACACACACACACCCCACACACAAATAAATAATTTGTGTAATACTGCAAGAGGAAGATAAAGTAGAAAATATCAAGAAAATATTTAACAGCAGCAATAAGATCAGAGAAATAGGATGAAATGTTAATAAATTGTGCCAATAAAAGCCAGATATTCATATTATACTGAGATACAAAAAGCTTTTCTAAACATGACATGAAACCAAGACAAAACAGATAAGACTGATATAATTTCATGATATTTTAAGGCCGGATGCCATGGCTCACGCCTGTAATCCCAACACTTTTGGAGGCCAAGGCAGGCAGATCACTTGAGGTTAGGAATTCGAGACCAGTCTGGCCAATATGGCGAAACCCCGTCTCTACTAAAAACACACAAATTAGCCAGACATGGTGGCAGATGCCTGTAATCCCAGCTACTGGGGAGGCTGAGGCACAAGAATCACTTGAGCCTGGGAGGCGGAGGTTGCACTGAGATTGCACCACTGCACTCCAGCCTGGGTGACAGAGTGAGGCTCCAAAAAAAAAAAAAAAAAATTCATGATATTTTAAAATAGGCTTATGTCAAATTGTTGATCATATTTACATAGATATAACTGACTGACAGTTAATATTCTTCTCATATGAGAAGCCTCAAAAAATGGCAAGCTAATAGAAAAAGAGATATCAATATGAACTTCTCAGAAAAAAATACATGGATCTAATAAAGACATGGAAAGATGCCCAGCTAGGTGCAGTGGCTCACACCTGTAATCCCAGCACTTTGGGAGGCTGAGGAGGGAGAATCGCTTGAGCCCAGGAGCTGAAGACCAGCCTAGGCAACATAGCAAGATCCTGTCTCTACAGAAAAATTAAAAAAAATTAGCCAGGCATGCTGGTTACACCTGTGGTGCCAGCTAGTAGTAAGCTGAGGTGGCAGAAAGGGTGCATTCTGGTCTGCCCTTTCAACCATGCAGTTAAACTTCGCAGGTAAGGCTGGACAGGTAAGTTTAACTGTGTAGGGCAGCATTAGGAAGCCCATTTTTGCTATCTACTTAAGTCATGTTACATGCTTTCTTCCTAATAAAAATGATCCTTTGATCTCCAATTGTTTAGCCTCCCCTGTTTTCTCTCACCTCGTCTGGAATATGCCCAGTGAACAGTGAGATGTTGTGGACTCATTCAATAACACCCCAATATTAATTATGTAAATATTAAGCACTTATTTTGAAAAGGTACAGCAGGGAAACTGGGATTTGCATAAGAAAATTGAATTCTTATCTATCAAAAATAAAACTAGTGGATAATGTCTAAAATAGATAAATCTAGAAATAGCATACTATTTTATTTTATTTTATTTTACTTTATTTTTAGATGGGAGTCTCACTTTGTTGCCCAGGCTGGAGTACAGTGGCATAATCTCGGCTCACTGCAACCTGTGCCTCCCAGGTTCAAGCGATTCTCCTGTCTCAGCCTCCTGAGTAGTTAGGACTACAGGCATGCACCACCACACTGGCTAGTTTTTGTATTTTCTGTAGAGACGAGGTTTCACCATGTTGGTCAGGCTAGTCTCGAACTCCTGACTTCAAGTGATCCGCCCACCTCAGCCTCCCAAAGTGCTGGGATTACAGGCATGAGCCACCGTGCCCAGCCCTAATTTAAAATAGGGAGGTAATTAACAGAAGTAACCACAGTTGCTTCTAGGCGTCTAGACTGGCAGATTAGATAAGAGCATGTCAGAGAGTTGTTTTTGTCATGAGCCTTTCAGCACAATTTTTTTTTTTTTTTTTGAGACAGAGTCTTCCTCTGCTGCCTAGGCTGGGATATAGATTGTTACCACCTTATTGAAAGGGAAATTGCACTATCAAAAACTTAAATGTATATATCTCTTATCATTGTTTATAACAGCTGCAACGATCAAGTTTATTTAGTTGCAAGGACAGGACCAAAAATATATGGATCTTCTTGTAAAGAGAAGTGAGAAACAGAATTGGAACTGAAAACTTGGGAGAAAGTGAAGTAACTTGAAGGCCCACCCACCTGTCTTTTTCATGGGCTAATCAGTCAATCATATATTCTCCTTCTCTCTCTCCTCTGAG
Organism: Homo sapiens; assembly: GCF_000001405.40. Taxonomy (NCBI): domain Eukaryota; kingdom Metazoa; phylum Chordata; class Mammalia; order Primates; family Hominidae; genus Homo; species Homo sapiens. The sequence continues at coordinate 39,078,053 of NC_000008.11, read as the reverse complement.
TTGGTTTCTTCAACTTACTCAACAATCCTGCTCCCTCATATCTCTTGTATATGGCTTAAGGCTGCCACATCCCTTCTACCCCAGCTCCTACTTCACAGCATCTCCCAACGAATTCTTACAGTTTCTGCCCGCACTCTTAATTACCCTCCTTAATTTTATATTCTCCAAAAAAAGGAATTTGGCCCAGGGCATCTTCTCATATGAAACCACTAGTAATAAGTCATGGGCTGACTGACTCTGGCCTTCTATCTAATCCAAACAGCAGAGCTCAGGTGGTCAGGAACATGGGCAGGACAAGCTCCATGACATTTCTAGTACACAGACACACACCCTGAAATTCAGGACATCGCCAAAGTGTCCCAGTAATAGCAAACTGGCTAATAAATTGTAGCATATCAGTAGGGGAGGGAACCATGCACAGTATATTGCAAAGTGGAAAACACTGGTTATCTGACCCCAGTAAGGAAATGTGGATAACAGAATTATAGTTCTTAATTTTCTTTTGGTGGCTTTGTATTTTCTAAAATTTCTATAATGAATTTAGATTACTTTTACAATCAGAAAAGAGCAACCACTTACTATGTATAATAATTTTTTTAATTTTTTTCATTTTACTTTGTAAATAAAAAATATTTTGATTACCTTTCCAGCACCACATTTTGTGCCTTCGTTAACCATCCCAGGATCTGGAACATCTGATCCTAGCTGGAAATCCACACCCCAACATTTGGTGCCTCGACTAGGCGTTTGAATAATAGCAGGCACAATTCCAAATACAGGTATCTCTTGTACATTCTCACACTGAAGCTTTCCACACAAAGCATTCCTATAAAGAGAGAGAAATAATGCAACATAAAATGCATCCAGTATACATAACAAAAGAAAAAATTTATATATTTGCATATGGACAGAGTTTGCTGCTATGGAGGGAATCTCAACAGAGAAAGTGTATGAGAGCAAGAGAGGTCAAAGTAGCTCTCTTTAAATACGGCAGAAAAGGCGAAAAAAGAGTTAAGTGGATGCTAAGATGCAAATTAGGGCACCAGCTGGTGCTGATGCTTCTTCTTTTACCACACTTAATCTTCTTCACTGTCTGTCTAGAGCTCAACAGCCTAACTAATAAAGTTGTTTCTAAGTATAATTTTATAAATTCTATTATACAGAAAATAATATAGCAATATCAAAATTCAATTATGTCTTCTTACAGAGTTATGATAAAGAAGAAATTAGATTCTATAATGCAAAATAACTAAGAAAGGATTCCACCCCTCTTTTCCTGGCTAACTCTTGGTTACTTATTTAAAGAATCAATTCATTAACTCGTTAATTCATTAATTAAATATCAGAACTCTATGAAGGCTTCCCTGACCATAATTCTTATTGCCAAGGCTGTGTGAATTAAATGCCCTTCCTATATCCTTTCATAACACTCTAGGTATTTCCAACAATAACTCTTATGATGCTGTACTGAGATTTCCTGTTTAACTGATTGTCATCTGATCCAAGCACCTACTCTATATCTGAATCTTCTCTATGATATCACTGCCCAGTCATCATAGGATATATTTTCCCAATATCTCTAATTTACACCCTCCTGAAACTGCCCATTCTAGCTCCCATCACGTTCTTCTTTCTGCTTATTAGGTAAAAATCTACATCTGTAAAGCATTTATCCTCATTGGTCCCAGATCTTCCCCATGAGACTACACAGATATCTTTTCCTTCTTTCACACAGCAGCTATTTTAGGACAATTATTATGCAGCTCCTAAATACTTACTTCACCAGGTCACTATCCTACAATCACTTTTCATGCAACAAGGACGCTCCCTCCTAAATATGTTCCAGTTTGCCTCACTGCCTCTTGAAGCATAGTGCTCAGAATGGAGCATGAAATTTCAGTGACAGCCTGGTGAGCAAAGAAAAAAATGGAGCTCTTGTTTATTCTAGATACTGTACTTCTATTAAGTTCAAGATTACAATAGCTTTTATAACTACATTATATTATTGATGTCCTTGAATATATCACTAAAACTCCTAATTTTTGTTGTGCTGCTATTAAGTCTTCATCTTCCCTTCATCCTGCATTTAAGAGTTAATAATTTTGTCCCAACTTTACATTTATTCTTATGTCACCATTTATTTGCTAGCTGACCTGAGAGAAGTGCTTACATTTTCTGAGCTTCAGTTTCTTCAGCTGAAAAAAATGAGATAAATGATGCCTATCTCACATAATTAGCTGAAATTAGATATGAAAACCTCAAAAACAAAGTGTAGCATAAAGTAGACCTCAGTTAAGATCTGTTGGGGCCTACCAAAATTCACATTGCTATGATATACTCAGTATTTCATACATAGGCTTGGTGATACATTAAAAAGTAAAGGAAAATACTCTTAGAATATAAAAAGCTGTTACAAATCATTAAGACAAAGAAAATCACTTCAACAGAAAAATTAGCAAAGATGTAAACAGGCAGCTCATAAAATAAGAAATGTAAACAGCCAACAAAACTGAGATGCTCATTCACTGTTGAATAATACTAACAGAAACAAAATTCAGTTACAACCCTCAGTAAAATAATTGCTTCAGGCAAGGATCATCCATAAAGTGAAACACTGGTCAGGAACTGGATATTCATATGGCACAAACTCATCACTCCACATATTACCTGACAGCTGCAATTTTAAAAAGCATAACTCCACAATAGCAAGATCTGGTCATTGCCACTTAGTATCACTAATATTAATAAGACTACCCAGCACTAAGTGACTCCTTGATATAATGCATTGCTTATGAACATTCTCGCCAAAAATATTTAACCTGAATTCAATTAAGATTTTGGGCTTAGGGCCAGGCGCGGTGGCTCACGCCTGTAATCCCAGCACTTTGGGAGGCTAAGGTAAGCGGATCATTTGAGGTCAGGAATTTGAGACCAGCCTGGCCAACATAGGGAAACCCCATCTCTACTAAAAATACAAAACTTAGCCAGGCATGATGGTGCACACCTGTAGTCCTAGCTACTCCAGAGGCTGAGGCACAAGAATCACTTGAATCTGGGAGGTGGAGGTTGCAGTGAGCTGAGATCATGCCACTGCACTCCAGCCTGAGCGAGAGAGTGAGGCTCTACTCAAAAAAAAAAAAAAAAAAAAAAGATTTTGGGCTTAACTTCTGATTTAAATAAAATTCGGATGATAGAGACATAAGTTAAGCAACACCAAAAGGAAACTAAAACAAATCCAGAACATGAGCCCACTGGCCCAGCCATTTCCATAAATCAATGTCACTGAAAAGAAAAAAAATCAGTCTAAAAGGTATTCTGGATTAAAAGTGACTTAAGTGACATAACAACTAAATGCAATGTGTGATCCTTGATTGAGTCCGGATGTTGGAAAATGCCGGCTATAAAAGACAGTTTGAGGACACTTATGGAAATACTAATATTGATCAGATACTAGATGATATTAGGAAATCATTCATTTTGTTAGGTGTGATGTGATCATGTGAATGGCCTTATTTGTTGAAGACGGATGCTGAGGAATTTAGGAGTAAAGTATCATGTCTATAATTTACTTAAAATGGTTCAGCAAAATCTTGATGAAGCAAATAATGATAAGGCATTAATAATGTCTTGGTCTGGGATATATTGGTGTTCATCACACTATTCTTTCTACTCCTCTGTATATTTGGAATTTCTTTTTTATAATGCTTGAAAAAATGACATTGTCTATGTACTAAAAGATAACCCTTTTAGTGAAAGGAAACATTTGGCTTATGTTTATAAATGTATATACACATAAAAAAGAAATACAACAAAAACTTAAGGAAATATCTCTGGATGGTAGGACCATATGTGAATCCTTTCTTTAAATGTTTCTAGATGTTTTTGGTAGTTTCAATGGGTAGAAAAGACTTTTCCAGATTTTACACATTCTCCAAGGAGGATGACAACAAAAATAGTGATGATGATGATGAATGTGACAATGAACCAGATATTCCTCTTAGTACTAACACCCATTAACTCATTCAGTTCAAAACAACACTTGGAAACAGGTGCCATTATTATCCCCATTTTACAGAACAGAAAAATGAGGTATGTATGTGAAGTAATTTGTCCAAAGACTCAGAGATGTTAAGTGATTGAACAAGGATTCAAATCCAAAGAGTCTAACTTCAAATGTATATTCTTAATGACTATATTGTTTGTATACTACTATTACATAAAATGCTTCCTAAATGACTCAGTAATTTTAAAGTTTGATAAGTATAGTTGCTATTTTCAATAAGATATTCATAAAAATATGAAACAAGACAAGGCTAAAGACAAGAATATGGTATATGTCCAGCAAATTCTTTCCAAGTCTGCATTAATCCACTTATCCCTAGATTTTAAATCAGTTCATTCAATCGGTTATATTAATTCTCCACCCATTCATTCTTCATCCATATCATCTGTACCTTCATTCATTCAATGTTTAATAGTCATTTATTATGTTTCCTCCAAGCATTATGCTAAATGCAAGATAAAATGTGTCACTGAACCTTACAGTTTAGTGAGGAACAGCGATAACAAAAGAGCTACATAATTAATGAAACTGACAAATACTTCAAAAGAATATTCCAGAAATGAAAAGAATTTGCTAATGATAAATTTGCTAATGCCCTCCAAGTCATCAGGAGGGCATAACAATCCTAATTGTGTATGCACCTAGTAACAAATTTAAAACATACACAGCAAAAATTTACATACCTAAAAAGATAAATAGACAAATCCACAATCATAACTGGAGACTTCAACACACCTCTCTCAGAAATTGAAGGAACAGATATAACACACGTACACCATAGATATGAAATATTTGAATAAGACTATTAACTTGACATTTATAGAATAACATCTCTAACAACTGCAGAATATACTTTTTCTTTCAATTATACATGGAACATTTACCCATACAGACCATATATTGGTCTGGTATTAAGAGGCTGGCCCACATATTAGTCTGTATGGATGAATGTTCCAAGTGTAACTGAATAATGCACATCTCAAATTCCAAAAAAGTGAAATCATATAGAATGTGTTCTCAATGGAATTGAACTAGACATCAAAACCAAACAGATAACCAGTATATTCCCAACTACTCGGGAATTAAGCAATAGGCTTTCAATAACACGAGTCAAAGGAAAAAAATCAGTGTAAATTAGAAAATACTATGAACTAAAAAATAATGAAAACATATCAAATTCTATGAAAAAGAAGCAAACAGCATCAAGAACACCTGTCAGAGGGAGAGCTGGTCCTGTTGAGGAAGTGGAAGAAGTCTTCTGTAAGGAAACCACACTTCACCTGAGATCTGGAGGACGAAGAACTGAGCAGGCTGAGAGGGGGAAAGACAGCATGCTGAACAGAGGGAACAGCAGGTGCAGAGCCCTGTGGCCGCAGGCCACATGCAGGCCAGCAGGGCTGGAGCTTCTCAGAGAGGAGGCAAATGAAGCCACGGAAGTAAACGAAATCACATGGGGTCAGGGGAGAAGAAGAACACCCTACACAATCACCAAAAAAAAAGAGGTTTCTTCAAGAAGGAGAAAATGGCCAGCATAATTGAATGCTACTGACAGGTCAAGTACTATTGTATGAAGACCTAAAAACGACTGTCAGATTGAGTGACATGGGGGTCTTTGTTGCTATTTCTTCTTAGCAAGCACTGTTTTACTGTAGTTGCTTAGCTTAACTGATAGCATAGGAGGTAGAATGGGTAGAAGCAATGATAATATTACAGAATAATTCCAACTATGTAAAATGTTAGTGTGAAGAAGAAAATAATTTCACTGATATTAGTGAACATATATGGATTGAGATTATACATGACTTTTTCCTCCTTTGTAATGTTTCATTATTAATGTTTTACAAAAAGCAAATGTTAATTGTAGAAATATAAAATATTTTAAATTCATCATCTTGAAATTATACAAAGCTAGAAGAAAATAATGAAGTTCAGAGTTTCTTCTGCAGGTACCTTTATCTAGGGACTTAGTAACATAATCTTTTATGGAAAGGAAAATGAAAATGGTGTTTAGTTGGGGTTCTTATTATAAATCAAGGATAAACAAAATAAGAGTCTAAAAACCACTAGATTGTAGTTGATGTCTAAAGGGACAAATTATGTTACCAGTTCTTTTCCTAACACCAGAGTCTCTCTGAAGCTTTGCATTGTAAAATGTTTGAAAAGTTAGGTATTTAAGGGGGAGAAAATCAGCGGTCACAGAGAGCAGTTGTAAAAGATACTAGAGACGGCCGGGCACAGTGGCTCACGCCTCTAATCCCAGCACTTTGGGAGGCTGAGGCGAGCGGATCACGAAGTCAGGAGATCAAGACCATCCTGGCCAACATGGTGAAACCCCATCTCTACTAAAATACAAAAAATTAGCTGGGCGTGGTGGCACATGCCTGTAGTCCCAGCTACTCAGGAGGCTGAGGCAGGGGAATCACTTGAACCTGGGAGGCGGAGGGTGCAGCGAGCCGAGATCGCGCCACTGCACTCCAGCCTGGCAACAGAGCAAGACTCCGTCTCAAAAAAAAAAAAAAAAAAAAGATACTAGAGATGACGGATCTTATAATCTTTCATATTCCATTATGACCGCACCTCCACTTACCCAGTGGCACACTTCTTGTATTCATTGCCAGAGAAACCACAATTGCCAAATCTGTCACCTTTAGAATTCACTTCAATGAAACAATCTTTGGGGGCAGCCTTGGCTTCTGTAACATTAAACATTTAAAAAAAGAAAAAAAAAGTTATGGCAATTTAGCTTTTGAAATAAAAGTATTCCCTACAACAGTCTAAACACCTGGATGAACAGCCTCAATACCCCTCAACACCGTGGAAAACCTTTCCTGCCTCACACATGATACATTTTTGTTCCACATTTCATATGTAATGACAAAATGTAAAAATAAATCTTAAGTTGTACTTAAAAGTTAGCCTGAATTCAAACTCAAGCCCTAAAAGAAACACTATTAAATAATAGATTATAAGTAAATTAAAAACCATGCACAGTATAGTACCATTTGCAGCATATTCATTCTCATTGCTCTCACATATAAACCAACTGCACCACTGGTTAGATCAGCTAGGAAGGGTTGGAGAAAACACTGCCAGCTAATACTTTTGTTTTTTTCATTTATCATATATGGATGCTTGGTTTAGATGTCCCTACTAATTAAATACATTGACAAACACTGACGACAGATGACAAAGTAACAATCTATTCTTGCTTTCCCTTTTTTTTTTTTTTTTAAGAGACAGGATCTCACTCTGTCACCCAGGCTGGAGTGCAGTGGCACGTTCATAGCTTACTGTAACCTTGAACTCTTGGTCTCAAGCAATCCTCCCACCTCAGCCTCCCAAACAGCTAGAACTACAGGTACACGCCACCATGCTTGGCTAATTTTTGTTTTTATTTTTGTAGAGATGGGGTCTTGCTATGTTGCCTATGTTGCAAAATGCATATTTTTAAATAATAAAAATATGTTTTGTGGCTATTCAATTGGCAAAGTTTTAAAAATGGAAATACTTGATGTTGGAAACATATGAAGGAATGAACAGTCACGTATAGCAAATGAAGGTAAAAAGTGGTATATATTTCTGGAGATTATGTGGAAATGTCTTAGAAGCCTTTAATACAGGAATCCTGCTTCTGGAAATTTATCCAGAAGGATAAATGGAGGCCACAACTAAACCATACAGATGTTTACTGCTAACACTGTTGACTGTTTAAATAAATTATAGTATATCATTAACACAATGTTGTAGAAAAATGGTTAACATGGAAAAGTATTCACAATTTATTGTTAGTATTGAAAACGGGCAGTTACATTTTAGCTTTTTTTTTTTTTTTTTTTTTGAGACAGAGTCTCATTCTGTTGCCCAGGCTAGAATGCAGTGGCAAGGTCATAGCTCACTGCAGCCTTTACCTCACAGGCTAAAGTGATCCTCCTGCCTTAGCCTCCTAAGTAGATGGAAATGCAGGCATGCACCACCACACTTGACTAATTTTTTTTTTTTTTTTTTTTTTTTAGTGAGACAAGGTCTTGCTATGCAGCCCAGGCTGAAAGGCAGCAGGTTTTAAAGCAGTATGTCAATATGATACCATTTTTGTATATTATACACTCATATGCACAAAAAATAAGTGAAAGATATTCATGAAATTTTCAACAGTTACTTATCCAGAATATTGACAGTAGAGGAAATATTTATTTTCTACCTTTTGCTTATTTGTATATTCAATATTTCAATATGTCCTATTTCCATTTAAGAAGTAAACCAATGTAAGTTATTTTCCTTTAACAATGTCTTTGATAAATTCTAGCAGTAAGTCTTCATCAGCTCACCATGCTCACGGTGGATGAGATCATGGTTTTGCTGCTTTCTGTTGTGTGACCTCAGGCAAACCATTTAGCTCTCTGAGCCCTGCCTTCCTCATAAGGTTTTTTAAGGGCCAAATTTGATAGTAAGCGTCAATACCTTCTCTTATGTTAGCTCTCAAGTTCTTCACTTATTTGATAAATATTTATTTGGTGTTTACTAAAAATATAAGGAATTTGAGAATGCATGAGCTAGTGAAGGACTTTTAAATCCTTATTCTCCACATGTTCAAATGTTCAAAGGAATGAAAACTAGACCTATAACACCAGAATTGACTTATCTTTAAAATCAGAAGCCATCAACAAACTTCAGGTAAGAAGTCTGAATACATGCACGTATTTTCCCTCCCTCCTAAAATCCCACAGAAAGTAGTTTTTTTTTTTTAATTCATAAACCCACAGACAATGGAACTGGGAAAGGAGACTGCACAAAACTTAGAAGCCGAAAAGAAATTGGTGAAGTAATAAATGACTCAATGTATCTCAGAAAACTGAATCTTAAAGTGGCAACAGAAAAAACTGAGATCAACCCTTTTTACACCGTAGAATTCCTCGGAGATAAGAAACTGGTAGTAATAGGTACCTCTGGCTATAGAGAATAAGGAGGGGCAGGTGGCAGGAATAAAGAGGAAAAATTTTAAATCTGCTTAAGAAGCAGTTTGGCCCACAAGTCACCTACCATCTTTGTGAAGCCAAGTGACTGTCTCTTCTCTACCCTGGCAAAACACTGGAGGTTTATTTTCTGGAGAGAGTAGAACACAAGGTTCCAGGACTCAAGAGATACCAGGCACAGTAACAGGCACAGAAACTCTTCTAAAAACAAGGGGATGAACTGAGCATTTACCTACCTCATACTGAGGTCCCAGCCTTATTTTCCCTCACCTCCTGTTTCCCTCCCAGAATGCTGACAGTCAGGTCTTTTTTTTTTTTTTTTTTTTTTTTTTTTTTTTTTTTTTTGAGGAGAAGTTTCACTCTTGTCACTCGGGCTGGAGTGCAATGGCATGATCTCGGCTCAATGCAACCTCCACCTCCCTGGTTCAAGCGATTCTCCTGCCTCAGCCTCCTGAGTAGCTGGGATTACAGGTGCCCGCCATCATGCCAAGCTAATTTTTGTATTTTTAGTAGAGACAGGGCTTCACCATGTTGGCCAGGCTGGTCTCGAACTCCTGACCTCAGGCAATCCACATGCCTCGGCCTCCCAAAGTGCTAGGATTAGAGGTGTGAGCCACCGTGCCCGACTGACAGCTAGGACTTGGCCCTCCAGGATGCAGATAGATAAGGTCTTCACAAGGGAATCTTAACAAGCCCAAGAGGAAAAAAACCTAAAGATGTGGATTTTCCATTTCCCTAATTAAAAAGTTCAGCTGTATCATCCTATAGGAAAGCTTTCAGTTAACAAGCCTCCCCCATGAGCCTAGAGTGACCTCTCTGCTTCTTATTCCCCTCCTTTGGACCAGGGACTATGGGAGAGCTGAGGAACATGGCTAATGTGAAAGATGGAAACTCAAACAAAGAAAAAAGGTAATATGAAACAGAGGTTACGCAGAAGAAAGAAAACTTTTTAAACAACATATGCAAATCAATAAACATAATCCAGCATATAAACGGAACCAAAGACAAAAACCACATGGTTATCTCAACAGATGCAGAAAAGGCCTTTGACAAAATTCAACAGCCCTTCATGCTAAAAACTCTCAATACATTAGGTATTGATGGGACATATCTCAAAATAATAAGAGCCATTTATGACAAACCCACAGCCAATATCATACTGAATGGGCAAAAACTGGAAGCATCCCCTCTGAAAACTGGCACAAGACAGGGATGCCCTCTCTCACCACTCCTATTCAACATACTGTTGGAAGTTCTGGCCAGGGCAATCAGGCAGGAGAAAGAAATAAAGGGTATTCAATTAGGAAAAGAGGAAGTCAAATTGTCCCTGTTTGCAGATGACATGATTGTACATCTAGAAAACCCCACCGTCTCAGCCCAAAATCTCCTTAAGCTGATAAGCAACTTCAGCAAAGTCTGAGGATACAAAATCAATGTGCAAAAATCACAAGCATTCTTATACACCAATAACAGAGAGCCAAATCATAAGTGAACTCCCATTCACAATTGCTAAAAAGAGAATAAAATACCTAGGAATCCAACTTACAAGGGATGTGAAGGACCTCTTCAAGGAGAACTACAAACCACTGCTCAATGAAATAAAAGAGGACACAAACAAATGGAAGAACATTCCATGCTCATGGATAGGAATAATCAATATCGTGAAAATGGCCATACTGCCCAAGGTAATTTATACATTCAATGCCATCCCCATCAAGCTACCAATGACTTTCTTCACAGAATTGGAAAAAAATACTTTAAAGTTCATATGGAACCAAAAAAGAGCCCACATTGCCAAGTCAATCCTAAGCCAAAAGAACAAAGCTGGAGGCATCACACTACCTGACTTCAAACTATACTACAAGGCCACAGTAACCAAAATAGCATGGTACTGGTACCAAAACAGAGATATAGACCAATGGAACAGAACAGAGCCCTCAGAAATAATACCACACATCTACAACCATCTGATCTTTGAAAAACCTGACAAAAACAAGAAATGGGGAAAGGATTCCCTATTTAATAAATAGTGCTGGGAAAACTGGCTAGCCATATGTAGAAAACTGAAACTGGATCCCTTCCTTACACCTTATACAAAAATTAATTCAAGATGGATTAAAGACTGAAATGTTAGACCCAAAATCATACAAACCCTAGAAGAAAACCTAGGCAATACCATTCAGGACATAGGCATGGGCAAGGACTTCATGTCTAAAACACCAAAAGCAATGGCAACAAAAGCCAAAATTGACAAATAGGATCTAATTAAACTAAAGAGCTTCTGCACAGCAAAAGAAACTACCATCAGAGTGAACAGGCAACCTACAAAATGAGAGAAAATTTTTGCAATCTACTCATCTAACAAAGGGCTAATATCCAGAATCTACAAAGAACTCAAACAAATTTACAACAAAAATCAAACAACCCCATCAAAAAGTGGGCAAAGGAGATGAACAGACATTTCTCAAAAGAAGACATTTATGAAGCCAACAGACACATGAAAAAATGCTCATCATCACTGGCCATCAGACAAACGCAAATCAAAACCACAATGAGATACCATCTCACGCCATTTAGAATGGCGATCATTAAAAAGTCAGGAAACAACAGGTGCTGGAGAGGATGTGGAGAAATAGGAACACTTTTACACTGTTGGTTGGACTGTAAACTAGTTCAACCATTGTGGAAGACAGTGTGGCGATTCCTCAAGGATCTAGAACTAGAAATACCATTTGACCCAGCCATCCCATTACTGGGTATATACCCAAAGGATTATAAATCATGCTGCTATAAAGACATATGCACACGTATGTTTATTGCAGCACTATTCACAACAGCAAAGACTTGGAACCAACCCAAATGTCCATCAATGATAGACTGGATTAAGAAAACGTGGCACATAGACACCATGGAATATTATGCAGCCATGAAAAAGGATGAGTTCATGTCCTTCGTAGGGACATGGATGAAGCTGGAAACCGTCATTCTCAGCAAACTATCCCAAGGACAAAAAACCAAACACCGCATGTTCTCACTCATAGGTTGGAATTGAAGAATGAGAACACTTGGACACAGGAAAGGGAACATCACACACCGGGGCCTGTCATGGGGTGGGGGGAGTGGGAAGGGATAGCATTAGGATATACACCTAATGTAAATGACGAGTTAATGGCTGCAGCATATCAACATGGCACATGTATACATATGTGACAAACCTGCACGTTGTGCACATGTACCCTAGAACTTAAAATATATTTAAAAAAAAGAAAAAAATTATCATTAACATACTGACAAACATGAGAGATGTTTCGTGCATGAAATAAGAACAGATTATGTCCTTTTTTTTTTTTTTTTTTTTTTTGAGATGTAGCCTCGCACTGTCGCCCAGACTCGAGTGCAATGGTGCGATCTCGGCTCACTGCAAGCTCCGCCTCCCGGGTTCACGCCATTCTCCTGCCTCAGCCTCCCGAGTAGCTGGGAATACAGGCGCCTGCCACCACACCAGGCTAATTTTTTTATTTGGTATTTTTAGTAGAGACAGGGTTTTACCACGTTAGCCAGGATGGTCTCAATCTCCTGACCTTGTGATCCGCCCACCTCAGCCTCCCAAAGAGCTGGGATTACAGGCGTGAGCCACCGCGCCTGGCCAAGAATAGATTATTTCTTAAAAATAAGTGGGAAAAAAACTCAGAGAATATAAAAGAGTTTCTGAAAACTAAAATCATAGTGCCTGAAATGAAAACCGCAATAAAAGAGTTAGAAGATAAAGTTGAAGAAGTTGCTCAGAAAGTAGGTCAAAAAAAAAAAACAAAAAAAAACACAGATAAAAAGACAGGAAAGATAAGAAAATCCAGGAAATCCAAAATCCAAGGAAATCTAGTAAATCCAATATCCAAATAATATGTGATCCAGGAAAAGAAATCACACCAAAAAAATGAAAGGGAAGAAATTTCCAGAACTAAAAAAAATGAGTTCCCAGATTGAATGTACCCACCAATTACATAGCACGGTGAATAAAAACAAACCCACATCAAGGCATATCACCTTGAAGAGGTCATTCTCCAAGCTTTTTCAGAGGGGGTGAGGGAAAAGCTAGGTATAAAAATCAGAATGGCTTCAGACTTTCCAACAGCAACTCTGTAAACTGGAAGACAATAAAGCAATGCCTTCAAAACTGTGACAGAAAATGATTTCCATCCCCATCAATCAAGTATTTAGTCCAAATAAAACCATTTTCACACTTGCAGGATCTCAAAAAATTTACCTCTAATTCACCTTATCTAAGGAAACTACCGAAAGGAAAGCTCCATGAAAGGAGGAAATAAACAAAGAAAGAAGGTAATATGGGAAATGCAAACAGGAGATTCAAAAGGGAGAGAGCCAATGATTCGCCTTCAGATTATGGTGAAAGATCTCAGGATAAATACTGATTACACTATTGGCAATCCTGGTTCTCAGGCCTTCAAATCTGGACTGGAACTAAACCATCATCTCTCCTGTGTCTCCATCTTGCCAAATCATCCTACAAATCTGGGATTTTCAGTTGCTTACCATAATCGCATGAGCCAATTGCTTATAATAAATGAATAAACATATATATAATATGTATATATCCAATTGATATTGTTTCTCTGCAGTCTAACTAATTCAGATTTTGGACCAACAGTGGTTCCAGAGGAACAGAACTTTGAGAATGAGTTTTCTGAATTGATTCCAAGGTTTCTAGAATGGGCTATCTAATCTGATTAGATTTTTAAAGACACTTATGACTCTATTTCCAAAAGTTAACGTAGCACTGATAGTTCACGGCATGATATGGTAATTGCAGTCCAAAAACATATCAACACTAGAGACTCCTAATCAGACATTTACAAGAAGCAAGGATCTGGGTAACTATGTATATGATGCCTTCAAACATTTTTCTCATACTAACAGTATGAGATTGCCTGGTTGCTCCTTATTTTACTGGACAAAGTAGGGAAAGAAGATGATAAGCGCAGGGATTCCTAGTTCAAGCACCATATAAGTGACCTGAAATTTTCTGTGTGTGCCCTAAAGGACAGCCATATCGCCGGTAGTTGCAGAGCTGAGATTGTTGAAAATCAAACCTAGAATCTTATCCTGTGACTGGCTGAAAGCAAATTGAACTCCTAGCCTTGTAGGGTATCTACTGTTAAATTGAGGTTATTGATCAATAAGGAACTGGATCTTGAAAGTTGAAATGAGGACATGTGGGGAGACTTTGATAAAGCTGGGTACACTGAGCTCTAAACTCTTTCTTTTCTTGTTTGTTTGTTTTGAGACAGAGTCTTGCTCTGTTGCCCAGGCTGGAGTGCAGTGGCACAATCTCAGCTAACTGCAACCTCCACCTCCCAAGTTCAAGCGATTCTCCTGCCTCAGCCTCCCAAGTAGCTGGGACTACAGGAGTGCACCACTATGCCTGGCTAATTTTTGTGTTTTTAATGGAGACAGGGTTTCGCCATGTTGGCCAGGCTGGTCTCAAACTCCTGACCTCAAGTGATCTGCCTGCCTCACCTCCCAAAGTGCTGGGATTACAGGCGCCTGGCTGAGCCTCTAAATTCTGATGAGTCGTCTTTGCCAGTGGAAACAGCGTCTCCAACATCTGAGGGGACTAACCCTGCATTGCCTGAGGAAACTGTAATAGCCTCCCTGGAGGCAGCTGCCATGCAAGATAATGCCAATTTCCCTCAGGATCCACCTCCAAAATATCTCATTGGTTCTAAACCTATAACTAGACTCAAGTCATAGAAAATGCCCCTAAAGGTGAAATACTAAATACAACCCATGAGGAGGTTCACCACACTCCAAGACTACTTGAGTTTTCTAATTTACACAGACAGAAATCCAGGGAACATGTGTGGGAATGGATATTAAGGGCGTGAGATAATGGTGGGAGGAACATAAAGTTGGATTGGGATGAATTCATTGGTGAGGACTCACGAAGCAGACAGTCTGCATTGAATGTTGCCATTCAGGGAGTTAGAAAGGTCTCTAACAGTTTGTTCGGTTGGTTGGCTGAAATGTGAATCAAAAGGCAGCTCACAGTGAGCAAGTCAGGAATGCAGGGCCTATCTCAGTTTAATGCAGAGAAAGGGATTCAAAGTCTGAGGGAGACTAAAATGTTTGAGTCGATTTGTCACTTAAGATGTATTTACCCACCCTGGAAGAATCCAGAAAACACACCTTTCACCAAGACTGTAAGAAATAAATTTGTAAGGGGAGGCCTAGCATCCTTGAAAAGCTCTGTGATCACTCTTATCTAAAGGGCAGACCTTATAGTAGGAGCTATGGCCACTGAGTTGGGAAACTTAAATGCAATGAAAGTATCAGATTCTAGGTGATAGGAAAGTGTCAACATTCAACCACCAAAGGCAAGGTGGGCATAATGGAGAGCCAAGGTTGGCATAATGGAGAGCCAAGGTTACCATAATGGAGAGCAGAGTCAAAGCAGCAATCAGAATAACCTGACCCATGTAAAAACTTACGGCATTGGCTAGTTGATCACACTGTTTCTGTCTAAGTAGAAGCAAGATAGGCAGCTTCCCATAGTCTTACTTGACCTGTACCAAATAAGAAAACTCTAGGCCAAGTAAACAAAAGTCTAATTTGAATCATAAAAACAGAAAGTCACAGCCTCTTAATCAATTCCTTGAGTTGAGCCAGTTTACAGAAACAGAAACTCTCAACTAAAGGCAGGGTAAGTTTCTTTAAGGAAGAACCCTCCCATACAATGCCAAAAATTTATACTATTAATCATTATCCCAGACATTTCCAAGGGACCTATGGCTTTTACCAGGGCAATGGTTATATACTGAACGTTTGTGTACCCCTTCAATGTTTGTGTATCCCATAATTCATCTGTTGAAGCCCTAACCCCAAAGTGATGGTATTTGGAGATGGGCCATTTGGGAGGTAATCAGAGTTAGGTGGGATCATGAGGATGGGACCCTTATGATGGGATTGGCGATCTTATAAGAAGAAAAGAGAGATCCCTCACCAAGAACCAAATTGACTGGCACTTTGATCTTAGACTCCCAGCCTCCAGAACTCTGAGAAATAAGTGTCTGCCATTTAAGCCACACAGTCTACAGTATATCTTGTTAGAGCAGCCAGATATGGTTTAAATGTCTGTCCCCTCTAAAATTCATGTTGAAATTTAATTACCATTGTGACAGCATTAAGAGGTGGGACCTTTAAGAGGTGATTAGTCCATGATGGCTCTGCCCTCTGGGATAAGATTAATATTGTTATAAAAGGGTGCGTTTGGCCCCACTTCGTCTCTTGCCCATCCACCTTCCGTCATGTGATGGCTCAGCAAAACGACCCTCATCAGATGGCAGCACCTTTATCTTGGACTTCCCAGCCTCCAGAAGCCAATAAATTTCTGTTCACTATTAATTACCCGGTCTGTGGCATTTTGTTATAATAGCACAAAATAGACTGAGACAGAATTGATCAGACTAAGACACTGTGCACTGAGAAAAAAATTCGACCTTTCAGGAACACAGAACCCTATATCTGAAATAATTGAGCAAACCCAAAATGTCACTGTGGTCAAGAAGTCAGAGTAGGGGCTTATGAAGGTCAGGTGATAGATGAAGTTTTACCTCAGGTCCATCTCACAGCAGGCCTAGTGGGTCCCTGAACCCACCTTGTGGGTTTTTTCCCACAATTCCAGAATGCATAATTGAAACAGACACACTCAACAGCTGGCAGAATTGCCACACTGGTTCCCTGACCTGTGGAGTGATGGTTATTATGGTAAGAAAGGCCAGGTGGAACCCACTAGAACTGCCTCTACCTAGGAAAATAGTAAGCCAAAAGCAATACCACATCTCTGGAGGGATTGCAGAGATTCGTGTCAACATCAAGGACTTGAAAGATGCAGGGGCAGGGACTCTCATCACATCTCCATTCAATTCACCTATTTGCCCTGTGCAGAAGACAGACAGATCTTGGAGAATGATAGTGGATTATTATA
This sequence comes from Homo sapiens, assembly GCF_000001405.40. NCBI lineage: Eukaryota > Metazoa > Chordata > Mammalia > Primates > Hominidae > Homo > Homo sapiens. The sequence goes on along the minus strand of NC_000008.11, from coordinate 39,061,018 downwards.
AGCTTAGCTAAGTGGTGACTCCAACTGAAGCTGCTATACCAAATGTATTTCATTGTTTGAGCAAATTAACACATCCCCTAATACATGGTATGCAGCTGTGATCTGAAAAAACCTTTACCTATACCCATCCACACAGCCTACCAGAAGCAGCTGCTTTCAGCTGGCAAGGCCAGCAATACACCTTCACTGTCCTACTTAGGAAGAATATCAACTCTGGAGCCCCATGTCATAATTTAGTTTTGGGGATCTTGATTACCTTTTCCTTCCACAAAATATCACACTAGTCATTGAAAACATTATGCTCATTAGACCTAGTGAGCAAGAAACAGCAACTATTCTTGTCACTGGCAAGATATTTGCACGACAAAAAGTAGAAAATAAATCTGACAAAAATTCAGGTGCCTTCTACCTCAGTGAAATTTCTACATGTCCAGTGGTGTGGGACATGTCAAGATATCCTTTCTAAGGGGAAGAAGAAGTTGCATCTGGCCACTCCCACAACCAACAGAATGGCACAATGTTTAGAGGTCCATTTGGATTTCTGAAGGCAAAATATTCCTCATTTGGTTGCATAACTCTGGCCCATTTACCCACTGACCCAAAGAGCTGCTAGTTTTGAGCTGGGCCCAGAACAAAGAGAAACTCTGCAATAGGTCCAGGCTGTCAGGCAAGATGCTCTGCTGCTTAGCCCACTTGATCAAGCAGATCAAACAGTGCTTGAAGCAGCAGTTACAGACAGAAATGCTGTTTAGCGCCTCCGACAGTTCCCTATAGGTCAGGTGCAGTGCAGGCATTTAGGATTTTGGAGCAAAGCCTTGTGATCCTCTGCGAATAACTACTCTCCTTTTGAGAAAAAACTATTGGCCTGCTACTGGGCCTTAAAGTAGAAATTGAACATTTAACCATGGGCCACCCACCAAGTTACCATTCAACCTGAGTTGCCCATGATAAACTGGATGTCATCTGACTCACCAAGCTATAAAGCTGGGCATATGCAGCAGCACCCCATCATGAAATGGAAGTGCTACGTATGTAATTGAGCCAAACCAAGGCCTGGAAGGCACAAGTTACATAAAGAAGTGCCCCACATGCCCCTGCTCCCCACTCCTGCTACACTACATTTTCTCTCCTAGCCAGCAACTATGACCTCACGGGGAACTTCCTACCCATCAGGTGACAGTAGAAAAGAAGACGGAGACCTGGTTTGCAGATGGTTCTACACATGATATGATATGAAGAACCAAAAGTGGATGACTGTAGCACTGCAGCCCCTTTCTGGGACATCCCTGAAGTGCACCTGGTTGTTCACTTTCCTTGGGAGAAGAAACAGCCAGACGTGATTATACACCAATTTATGGGCTATGGCCCATGACTGGGTTGTAGGGCAAAGATATTTGTGTCCCATGTGAATGTTCACCAAAGGGTGGCCTCAGTAGAGGAGAATTTTAATAATCAAGTAGATAGGATGACTCATTCTTTCCCCAGCCAACTATTCTCATCCATGGGCTCAGGAACCACGTACTCACAGTGGCAGGGTTGGAGGCGATGCGTGGGCTCAGCATCATGGACTTCCTCTCAACAACTGACCTGGCATTGTTGCTGCTAAGTGCCCAAATTCTCCAGTAGCAAAGTCCAATCCTGAGTCCCCAGTATGACACCATTCCCTAGGTTAGTCAGTCAGCTGCCTGGTGGCAGGTTGATTACATTTTTCCCTTTCCATGATGAAAGAAGCAGTGCTTTGTTCTTACTGGGACAGACACACGTACTCTTGATATAGATTTGCCATCTCTGTAGCAACACTCCTGTGAACTACCAAAACTACCTTCTGTGGACATACAGAATTCCTCCCCCACCATCATAATATTCTACACAGCACTGCTTCAAACCAAAGAATTCACTTGATAGCAAATGAAATGAGGCAATGGGCCCATGCACATGGAATTCACTGGCCTTACCATGTTCCTTCCCCACCATCCTGAAGCAGCTGGCTGACAGCATGGTGGAAATGCCTTTTGGAGACTCAGTTACAGTGCCACTAGGTAGCAATACCTTACAGTGCTGGGGCAAGGTTCTCCAAAAGGCTGTATATGCTCTCAATCAGCAGCCAACATCCAATGCTGATTTTCCCATAACCAGGATTCACGTGTCCAGGTATCAAGGGGTGGAAATGGGAGAAACACCACTCACCATTATCCATAGTGACCCACTAGCAAAATTTTGTTTCCTGTTCCCACGACCTTATGCTCTACTGGACTAGAGGCCTTAGTTCCAAAAGGAGGAATGCTGCCACCAGGAGCCACAATAATGATTCTACTGAACTAGAAATTAAGCCAGAGGCCCAGCCACATTGGCTCCTCATACCTCCAAGTCAACAGGCAAAGAAGGCAGTTTCTATGCCAGGTAGAATTACTGATCCGAACCACCAAAGGGAAACTGGCCTACTACTCCAAAATGGAGGCAAGGAAGAGTATGTCTAGAATGCCGGAGATCCCTTAGGGCATCTCTTAGTATTACCATGCTTCATGATTAAGTTTAAGTTCAATGGAAAACTTTAACAACCCAATCTAGGAAGGACTACAAATGGCCCAGACCCTTCAAGAACGACAGTTTGGGTCACCCTAACAGGTAAAGAACCACAAACAGCTAACGTGCTTGCTGAAGGCAAAGGGAATACAGAATGGGTGGAAGTTAGTTATAAATACCAGCTACAACCACATGACCAGTTGCAGAAACGAAGACTGTTTCATTAAGAATAGCTGCATGTGTGTATGTGTGTGTGCATTCACACACACGTACTGAGCAAATATGTTCTCATTCCTTATACCTTTATCATGCAGCATAAGACATATTGACTTGATATTATAGCATTTAAGTATTGTTAATTTTATATCCCAGTATTTAAGTTATGGGATATCAAGAAGAAGAATAAACATCACTTTACCTCCTTTTCTGGAAAAGAGGTTAGTGAGGTTTTAGTTGCATGCAGGATAGTGTTATTATATCATGCTAGGTGGAATTATGCCCTTAACAAGGTCCACATTTGGAGATTTGGTATGGTTTAAGGTGTCTATGGGTTTCAAGCTGACAAGGAGTGGATTTTTGATGAGGGTTAATTTTACCCTTTTTAGTAGAGTTAATTTGACTGAGCCACAGAATCCCCAGATATTTAATCAAACATAATTACGGATGTCTCTGTAAGGGTGATTTTGGATGAGATTAACATTGAAATCAGTAGGATGAGTAAAGCAGACTGCCCTCCCTATTGGAGGTGGGCCCCATCCAATCAATTTTAAACTTGAACGAAAAGGCCAGTCCTCCCTCAAGTAAGAGAAAAGTCTTCCTGAAGGCCTTTGGAATGAGACATCAGCTTTTTTCCTGCCTTTGGAATTGAACTGAAACACTAGCTCTTCCATGGTCATGAGCCTGCCAGACTTCTAACTGGAACTATACCATCAGCTCTACAGGGTCTCCAGATTGCTGACTCTCCCTGCAGATCTGACACTTAGCAGCTTCCACAATCACACAAGCCAATTCATATATGGGCTCATGCTATTACGCAGGATTTATTACATGAATCTAATATATCAGATTCCTCCAGGAGAATATATTTGATTTTCATGTAATACATATATAAGATATTATATATTTAATATATTATATGTAAATTATATATTATATATAAATATTAGATTCACGTAATAATTCCTCCAGATTATATATACAGTAATATCTACAGTAATGTGTCACTTAACAACAGGGATATGATCTGAGAAATGAGTTGTTAGGTGATTTTGTCATTGTGCAAACATCACAGAGTGCACTTAAACAAACCTAGGTGGTATAGCCTACTACACATCTAGGCTATGTGGTACAGCCTATTGCTCCTAAGCTACAAATCTGTACACCATGTCACTGTACTAAATACTGTAGGCAATGGTAACACAATGGCATCTAAACGTATCTAAACATAGAAAAGGTATCTAAACATATCTAAACATAGAAAAGTTACAGTAAAAATACAGCATTATAATTTTATGAGACCACTGTTGTATATGCAATCTCTCACTGACCAAAATGTTGTTATGCGGTATATGACTGTATACATAAACGCACAACACAATGGTTCCATTTCTCTAGAGAACCCTAACTAACTATACAGAGGGAAACCAGTCAAGACTGAAGAGGAACAGAGGCCTTCTGTTCAGACTTATTTGAACAAATTGAAATAAATAGAATACTTGATGCCACTAATCAACTCAAGGCACAATCAGGCCAATGGTTAACAATATACAGGTCAATTAATGGAAAGTACATAGGAAATTAACCAAACCAAAAGAGAGAGAGAGAAACAGAAAGACAGAATTAGTAACTCTAGAGAAATCAGGCAAGTAATTATAACTTACTATACAGTTTAGTTGTGAAGAGCATTAATGTGGCCATTATACAATACACAGTCATCACTGCCCTAACTATTGGGAGGATGAAGAATGGAAAATCAGCATAGGTATGATGGGAGTTGTTAAGGGTTGAAGGAAGAGAAGGAAAGAAAACTAACTCATCTTCTATAGTGAGAAATTAATAACTAATGCCTAGAACAAAAAAATCAAAACGTCGCATTGCCAAGAGATTATCTAAAAACCTAGCACAAGTTAACAAAAATCTTAGCCAAAAAAGGTAAAACTGCCTCAAGTGATGGGAATAGTGGGTGGGAACAGTCCTTATTTGTTCATACTATGCATTACACAATAATTTGGCTCTTTATATGTATGCCCTTGATAAAAATAAGAACTTTTAAAAGAAAAAATACATAAATTTTTTAAAAATCCCAAATATCTATCAGTAAGAGAATAACTAAATCATGATCCATTCATCTAATGGAATACTTTAATGTACTATAATATAAATATATCAATATAGATGAATTTCAAGAAAATTCTGAGTGAACAATGCAAATAGCAGATCCTTGTGCACAATTCAACATTATTAAAACTAGATACTATATATGTATCTGTGTGTGTGCGTGATACACAAAATATAAAAAGATATAGACAGTAAAAATAAGAAAACATCAACTGAATCTGTGCATATTAAATTCATGATCATGACTGCCTCCAAAGAAGAAAGGAAATACGATGAGAAACAAGAGAGCCTCAACTTTATCAATAATGTTTCATTACCTTTTTTAAAATATCTAAATCAAAAATAAATAATATCGAAGCAATCAATTATAAATGATGATATCTTACTTGAGCCAAAGATGACTTGACATTGAGCATCATAATACTGGCACATGCCGTTGTAGCAATAGGCTTTGTTATTCTGGCAAGGATATCCATTCTGAATAAAAACATCTGGCTGACAGAACTGAGAAGAACCATTGCAGTACTCTGGAACATCACACTCACTGGTTTTTCCTCGGCATAAAGTACCTCCTGGAAGGAACTAGTGAAATAGAATTCAAATTAAACAGAAATATCAGGATAATGTCCACAAATTAATCAAATGTGAAACCACAGCATTTACATCTATAAAGCATTCTAACAATAGCAAAAGATTAAATAACCCAACAGAAAAATGAACAATGGCTAACAACAGGTAATTCATGTAAGTCCTAACTATGGAAAGTAAAGAAACATGACCTCATTTGTAACCAAAAGAAATGCAAACTAAATAAAAATACAAGAACCCTTTACACCTATTGAATTAACTAGGAGTATAGTGCCTGCTAGTACCCAATATTGGCATAAGGAAACAAGTATTTGATAATACTGTTGGTAGAAGTATAGATTGGCATATGTGTGAAAGATATATAAAATGTATATCAAAAACTTAGTATGAATATTCTGCACCAGTGATTTCTCTTATAAGCAGTAACTGGAAGTAATCAAAATGTCCATCATTAGTTGACTAAAGAAATTATGGTACAACTATACAAGTAATATTACTTAAATAACCATGTATTATAGAACTACATGAATGGGAAAAAAGTCCATGGTGTCATATTGAAAAAAGCAGGTAGTAAAAATATATGTATCTGTGCTTACCCACTTAAAAACACACATACACACATACACTCACATTTGTATAGAAAAAACGTGATTATATTAACAAATTATCAACAGTGGTTACCTGAAGAGTATAAAATAATAGAGGATCTTTCATTCTCTACTTTCTATGGTTTCATGTTATTTAATTATTTCTAACAGGCATATGTTACTCTAAAAATCAGAAAAAAAATGTTTCTACTTAGAAAACAATATCAACAGACCACTTAACGTAAAAGAGTGTGCTTTAAAATTATACACAAGTGGCATAAAATTTTTCCCATGACCATAAAATAAAAATAGTGCTGACTCAGAAATCTCAAAAAACAAATTTTGATATACACAGGTTTTCTTTTTTTTTTTTTTTTTTTTCCTGTTTCCAAAAGGGAGGAATTCCTTACCCGACAGTCTTTACAACAGTCACCATATGCACACTCAGCAAATGATTTAAGCTTACAGGTACTTCCTTCGCAGCAAGGGTCCAATTCACATTCCTGTGAACATAAAATGACTGTCAATAAAGAAATTAGTAATTGACATGAATACTCATTAATAAAATTCTCATCTTACACCTAAAATCTACTTCATTCTAACATGATTGTAGCAGTTACCCTCCAGAAACAGTTGCTTACTGTTTCTGGATTTAACAATGTCTCTTCAGCTGCAAGTATAAGTCTCAACATATTTCAAAGGACAGAAATCATATAGTATGTGCCTTACTTAGTCTGCTCAGAATGCCATAACAAAATACCACAGGTTTAAACTGCAGAAATTTATTTTCTCACAGTTCTTGAGGCTAGAAATCCAAGATCAAGGTTCCTACTAGTTCAGTTTCTAGTGAGGATTCTCTTCCTGGCTTGCAGAGGGCTGCCTTCTTGCTGTGTGCTGACATAGCCCTTCCTCAGTGCATGTGTGCAGAGAGACGGCAAGTGAGATGTTTGGTGTCTCTTCTTACAAGGACACTGATCCTAGTGGATCAGGGCCCCATCCTTATGACCTCGTTTAACCTTAATTACTTCCTTAAAGGCCCCATCTCCAAATGTAGCCATGCTGGTGGCTGGCTCCAACACATGAGTTTTGGGGAAGCACAAACATTCAGTTCATAACAGTATGTTTGATGATCACAGAGAGGTCAGTGTCCATAAAGGCATTTATCTTCATGCTCAGGGTCTAACTTCTCTGTTGGATGGCTCTTCACCCTAGCTGAACACTCTTTTTTACCTTGCTTGGCTTCTCTCACTATACTCTGGGCCACCATGGCTCCTTCTTACCCCCAAACTCCCACCCACAGAGACATCTTCTCTGTTAAAATAGCAATGTCAATGTTCTGTTTTGTATTCTGTGGTACAGCTTTATAAGATGTCACCACTAAGGAAAACTGGGTGAAAAGTACACAGGACTCTATATTATTTTGCAACTTCTTTTCAGATTATAATTATTTCATAATAAACATTTTAAAATAAATGAACTTTAATGTACATCTTGAAATATACCCAAAAAAAGTCAAAATGCATCATGGAACTAAATGTAAAACCTAAAACTATAAAACTTCTAGGAGAAAACCTTTGCAACTGTGGAGCAGGCAAGAAGTCCTTAGATAGGACACCAAAAGAACAACCGATAAAATTACAAGTTTATAAAATAAACTTCATCAACATGAAAAAGTTCTGCTCTTCAAAATATACTGCTAAGTTAATTAAAGGCAAGCTACAACTTGGAAAAAATATTGACAATCTGATAGAGAACTTGTATACAGAATACACAAAGTATTCTCAAAACTCAACAATAAGTAATCAAAATTTTTAAATGAGGGAAAAGAGTTGAACAGTCATATCACCATAAGATAGCCTGATGGCAAAAAAGCACATGAAAACATGCTCAATGCATCATTAGTTACTAAGGAAATGCAAATTAAAACCTCAATGAGGCACCACCTCACACTCAATAGAATGGCTAAAATTAAAAACACTGACCACACGAAGTATTGGTCAGGATATGAAACAATTAGAACTCCCATACACTAAGGATGGAAATGAAAAATGGAACAATCACTTTAGAAAACAGTTTGAGAGTTTCTTGAAAAGTTAAATACCTCTACCATCTAACCAAGTCATTCTACTCCGGGACATTTACCCAACAGTATTAAAAACATAAGTTCACATAAAGATTTGAAGGTGAATGCTGGCCAGTTCAAAAACACTGCAGGACAGTTGGCTTCATGAAAGAATAGGGAATCAGGAAATAGATAATGTATATAGGAACTTAGGTTATCGTAAAAGAACCATTTTAAATGGTTCCACAACAACTGATCATTAGTGGATAAGTTTAATTTCCAAGCTTACTCCACATGCCCCCTCCTCAATTAAAAGAGTTAACATAAAAATTTTAAATTTAAAAAAAACTAAAATAATTTGTAGAGGGGCTATGATGATGATCTATATATAGGAATACTAAAAACCAGGTCAAGATACAAATTTCTGAAACCATTACAGGAAAAAAATTAGTAAGTTTGCCTTCATTTAAATTTTAAATTTCAACATAAAATGTAACCTATGAAAAGTTAAATAAGCTATAAATAAAGAATATTAGAACATATATAACAAAGGAGTTATGTCCATCTTATAGAAAGAGGTCTAAAAATCAATTTAAAAGAAGATTTAATGAACCAACAGAACTGATAAGGAATACATAAAATAATAATTCATAGAAGAAAATGATGCCTATAATCTACAATCACATGAAAAACTGTAAACTAAAACAGTATCTTCTTATTTTTTACCCATCAGCTTGCCAAAATTAAGAAAACATATTATCCTGTGCTGGTAAGACTATGGGTACACAATGGCATAATATACTGTTGTCAGAAATGCAAACTGACCCACACTATTTATAGGAAATTCATTAGCTTCTGATATAAGTTAAAATGTACATGCTTTTAGATACAATAATTCTACCTTTATGTACAATAACTATCATAGAAAAATATTTGTATATATACACGACGTGTGTATATCTGTATATATACACATGAGGTGTGTATGTTTGTATATATACACATGAGGTGTGTACAAGGATGTATACGGCAGCACTGTTTACAATAGAAAACACTAATTACAGTAATTAATGAGAGTATGGTTAAATAAATCATAGTAAATCCTTGTATTGGAATACTATTCAGCAAATTAAAGGGCTATGTCTACATAATAAAATGATACAGAAAAATGTCCAGGATATCGTAATAGAAAAAAATCTGCACACAAGAGATTTTAAGTCAATTTTAAACAATATTAAGTCTGATTTTATTTATGCACAAAAATAAAAGCCAGAGTGGCATCACCAAAATGGGAGAATAGAAAGCTCTGGATTCTCCTTCCTCCAACAGGCAGTGCTGCAATAAACATCCCTGTACACTCCCCATGTGTATATACACAAATATTTCTCTAAGATAGTTACATAAAGGTAGAATTACTAGATCTAAAAGCATGTACATTTTAACTTTTATTGGAGGCTAACAAATCTCCTATAAAAAGTCAGCAATTCAACAGTAACACACTAATCAATTCCCTTTGTGAGAAATCCAGAAACTAGTTGAGAGGCTACTACATCCCAGGCAATTGTAAAACCAGCCACACTGAAACCAGTAGGAAAACTGGAGATCCTTTCTCGCCGCAATCCCAACTCATGACGCGTCATATAAGATCAGGAGGAAACAGCTCTCAGCATCTCCCTGAGGAGAGAAAGAGTTGGGCCACACATCCAATATTACAGTTTTTTAGAGTGCTTCCTGAGGGACTACCTTCTATCTCATCTGCCTCTGACAACATATAGGACCTGGAATATATTAGATCCCTGGGGTTTTCAGAGAACAAAGGTAGTAGGTTAAACTAGCATGTGGGCACTTGCCACAGCTCCTAGCTTCTCCCAAAGGAGGACCACACATCCAACGCTACAATTTTTCTAGGAGCTACCCAAGAAATTGGCTTTTCCCTCTCCTCTCTCAGAGCACAGATGGAGCTGGTATGTGCTAGACCCCTGAAGGCTACAAAGAATGAAGGTGGTTGTTCAAACTATCACTCAGACACTCGCCACAGTTCCTCTACCCAGTTTAACATAGTGATTAAAAAAAAAAAAAAAAAAAAAAAAACACTTCCAAGCTTTTCCCTGGAAAGAGAAACTGTTGGACCACATGTCACATGTTCCAACTTTTCTAGGGATTGCCCAACAAATTCACTTCTTTCTCCCCTCTCAGAACACTGATAGGCTCCAGCATATTGTAGACACTGAGCGCTAACAACAATAGAAAAGGCAGTATAACAAACATGAAAGTTTGAGAGGCCCAAAAAAGCTCTGGCCAGGTTAACTAGTGAAGGTCTTCTCACTAATTTCGGGGCTGAAGAATACACCAACTTAATGGAAAAATGCAACAGAGGAGTTCAACAGCAGATCAGAGCAAACAGAATAAAGATTCAACAAACTCAAAGTCGGGTTACCTTATCAAGTCAGAGGAGCAAAAAAAAAAAAAGAAATATAAGTGAAGAAAGCTTAAGGGACTTATGAGACACCATCAAGAGACTAATATACACACTGTGGCAATCCCACAAGGAGCAGACTAAGAAAAAGTACCAAAAAGCTTATTTCAAAGAGGTAGTGGTTGAAATTTTCCCAAATCTGGGGAAGGAAATGGACGTCCAGATGCAGGAAGCCCAAAGAACCTTAAGTAAGAAGAATCTAAAGAAATCAACACCAAGAAACATTACAATCAAATTATCAAAAGACAAAGAGAATTTTGAAAGCAGTAAGAAAGAAAGCAATTCATCACATACAAGGGAACCCCCATCAGGCCATTAGTGGATTTTTCAGCAGAAATCTTGCAGGCCAGAAGGTTAATGAGGTGACATATTAAAGTAATGAAAGAAAAAAACTGCCAAGAAAGAATCCTATATCTGGCAAAACTATCCTTTAAAAATGAAGAAGACATTAAGACTTTTCTAGAAAAACAAAAGCAGGGAAGTTCATCATGATTAGACCTTTCTTCTAAGAAATGTGAAATGGAGTTCTGCACCTTGAAATGAAAGACTGCTAGACAGCAACACAGGAGCATAAGAAAGTATAAAATTAATTAGTAAGAATAAATATATAGACAAATGCAAAATACTGTGTTGCTGTTAATGGTACTGGGTAAATCACTTTCACTTCTAGTGTAAATTTAGAAGAAAAAGTATAAAATGTAACTATAGGCCGGGCGCAGTGGCTCACGCCTGTAATCCCAGCACTTTGGGAGGCCGAGGCAGGCAGATCACTTGAGGTCAGGAGTTCGAGACCAGCCTGGACAACATGGTAAAACCCCATCTCCACTAAAAATACAAAAATTAGCCAAGCGTGGTGGCAGGCACCTGTAGTCCCAGCTACTTGGGAGGCTGAGGCAGGAGAATCACTTGAACCCAGGAGGCGGAGGATACAGTGAGCCATCGCACCACTGCACTCCAGCCTGGACAACAAGAACAAAACTCCATCTCAAAAAAAAAAAAAAAAACTATAAAAAATATGTTGGAAGATACACAATATTAATAGATTGTAAACTGTAACAACAACATAAACTGTGTAATGGGAGAACTTAAAGTGAAGAGTTTTTGTATGTAATTGAGGTTAAGTTGTTATCAGCTTAAAAATACTGTTATTACTACAAGATATTTTATGCACGCTCTAAGGTAACCATAAACAAATACCTATAGAAGGAAGTTACACAAAAGAAAAAGGAATAGGGATAAAAGAATTATCAACACACACACAAAATCAAAAAATTACAAAGGAAAACAGCAAGAAAGGGCAGGCAAAAGAGCTACAAGACAAACAAAAAACATTTAAAACAATCACAGTAAATCCTTCCCTATCAAGAATTACTTTAAATGTAAATATGTTAAACTCCCCAACAAAAACACATAGCATACTGAATGGATAAAAAAAAAAAAAAAAAAACTATATGCTATCTACAAGAGACTCACTATAGTTCTAAGGACATATATAGGCTGAAAGTGAAGAATGGATAAAGATATTCCATGCAAATGGTAACCACAGAGAGCAGGGGTACCTATATTTGTATCAAAGAAAAGAGACTCTATGTCAGAATTGTCACAAAACACAAAGAAAAACATTTTATAATGATAAAAGTAACAATTCACTAGGAAGATATAACAATAATAAATATATATGCACCCAGCATTAGAGCACCTAAATATGTAATGCAAGCACTGACAAAACTGAAGAAAGAAAGAGACAGCAACACAATAATAGTAAGAAACTTCAAGACTGCATTTTAATTATGGATAAAACATCTAGATAGAAGATCAATACGGAAACACAGGACTTGAACAACACTACAGACCAAATCAAACTAATAGACATATACAGAACATTCTACCCAACAGTGGCAGAATACATACTATTCTCAGGCACACATGGAACTCTCTCCAGGCTCACATTTTAGGTCACAAAACAGGTCTTCAGAAATTTAAGAAGACTGAAATCATACCAAATATATTTTCTGACCAAAATGGATGAAACTAGCAATTAGAATAGAAAAAGACAACAATAAAAGCAGAAAGGAAAATGGAAAATTCACCAATATGTGGAAATTAAACAACACACTGTGGAACAACCATTGGGTCAAAAAGGAAATCAAACACAAGATTAAAAAATACTTTTGGACAAACAAAAAACACAATATGTAAAAACTTATGAAATAAAACAAAAATAATACTAAAAGGAGGACAGATGTGGTGGCTCACGCCTGTAATCCCAGACCAAGGCGGGTAGATCACCTGAGATCAGGAGATCGAGACCAGCCTGGCCAACATGGCGAAACCCCATCTCTACTAAAAATACAAAAATTAGCTAGGCATGGTGGTGCGCGCCTGTAATCCTAGCTACTGAGGAGGCTGAGGCACAAGAATCACTAGAAACCAGGAGGTGGAGGTTGCAATGAGCCAAGATTGCCCCACTACACTCCAGCCTGGACAACACAGTGAGACTCTGTCAAAAAAAAAAAATACAAGGAAAGCTTGCTGTGATAACCTATATTAAAAAAAAAAACTCAAATAAACAACCTAACTTTACAACCCAAGAAATCTGAAAAGCAACAGAAAATTTAAACCCAAAATTATCATAAGGGAAATAATGAACTTCAGATCAGAAATAAACAAAATTGAGACTAGAAAAAGAATTGAAAAATCAGCAAAACCAAGAGTTAGTATTTTTCAAAAGATAAGCAATATTAACCAATCTTAGCTACACTAAGAAAAAGAAAGAGAAGACTCAAAATCAGAAATGAGAAAGGAGACATTTCAACTGATGCCATAAATAAAAAGAATTATAAAAGACTACTATAAACATTTACACATCAACAAACTGGATCACCTAAAAGAAACGGATAAATTCCTAGAAACACACATCCCACCAAGACTGAATCATAAAGAAATAAGTCTGAACAGACCTATAAGTAGTAAGGATATGAATCAGTAATCAAAAACCTCCTAGCAAAGAAAAGCACAGGACCAATGGCTTTACTGGTGAAATCTACCAAACATTTAAAGAACTAATGCCAATCATTCTAAAAATTCACCCAAAAAATAGAGGAGGAGGAGAAAATTCCACTCATTTTATGAGGCCAGCATTATCCTGATGCAGACTGTATCACCAAGGCCAATATGCCAAATATAGAAAACTACAGGCCAATGTGCCAAACAAATACAGATGCAAAATCCTCAACAAAATACTAGCAAACCAAATTCAGCAGCACATTAAAAGTAAAATACAACATGACCTAGTAGAATTTATCCTTGGGTATAAATTGGGATGGCTCAATATACAAAAATCAATTAAGGCTCAATATACAAAAATCAATTAATGAGATCAGGTGCAGTGGTGCACACCTGTAATCCCAGCACTCTGGGCGTCTTACGCAGGCAGACTGCTTGAGTCCAGGAGTTCGAGACCAGTCTAGGCAATGTAGCAAAACCCCTTCTCTACAAAACATACAAAAATGTGTGAGGCATGGTGGCATATGCCTGTAGTCCCGACTACTCAAGAGGCTGAGGCACGAGGATCACTTGGGCCCATTAGGTCAAAGCTGCAGTGAGCTGTGTTCACAGCACTGCAGTCCAGCCTGGGCAACAGTAAGACCCTGTCTCAAAAAAAAAAAAATTTAATTAATTAAATAATGAGATATACCACATTAACAAAATGAAGGATAAAAATAGCATGATCATCTCAATAGATACAGAAAAAGCACTTGATAAAATTCTACACCCTTTCATGCAAAAAGCTCTCAACAAACTAGAAATAAAGGAAAATAACTTCAACATAATTAGGCCATATATGAAATTCCCATAGCTAAAATCATACCTAGTTGTGAAAAACAAAAAGCTTTTCCTCTGAGATCAGAAATGAAGCAAGGATGCCCAATCTCGCCACTTCTATTCAACTTAGTATTGGAAGTCCTAGCCAGAACAATTAGCAAGAAAAACTAAAAGGCATCTAAATCGGAAATGAAGCAAAACTGTCCCTCTTTTAAGATGACATGATCATACATATAGAAAATCCCAAAGAGTCCATCAAAAAACTTGTTATAACTAATAAATAAATTCAGTAAAGTTGCAGGAAACAAAACTGACACACAAAAATAAGGTCATTTTCACATACTAACAATGAACTACAAAAAGGAAATTAAGGAAACAAAGCTATTTACAATAGCATTGAAAACAAAACATTTGTGAATAAGCTTAACAAGTGAGGAAAAAGATCACACACTAAAAACTTACAAAACATTGCTAAAAGAAATAAAAGATGATACAAATAAATGGAAAGACATCCTATGTTCATGGATTGGAATAATTAAAATTGGTAAATTGTCCATATTACCCAAAGTGATCTGCAGATTCAATAAAATCCATTCCTCAGAAGAAGAAATACAAGCAGCTGCCAAACACAGGAAAAAATGCTCAACATCATTGAAAATCAGAGAATGCATATTAAAACCACAATGAGATATCATCTTACAATAGTCAGAATGGCTATCATTAAAAAGTCAAAAAAAAAAAGGCTGATCTTGGTGCAGATGCAGAAAAAAGGGAATGCTTATACATTGTTGGTGAGAATGTAAATTAGTTCAACCTCTATGGAAAACAGTATAAAGATTTTTCAAAGAACTAAAACTAGAACTACCATTTGACCCAGCAATTCCACTACTGGGTATCTACCCAGAGGAAAATAAATCGTTATGTAAAAAAGGTATCTGCACTCATATGCTCATTGCAGCACTATTCACAATACCAAAGTCATGAAACTAATGTAAGTGTCCATCAACAGTCGACTGGATGAGAAAAATCTTTTATATATATATATATATACACACACACACATATACACACACACATATATACACACATATGCACATATATATGTATGTACACACACATATGTATACACACGCACATATAGGTGTGTGTACACACACGCACATATAGGTGTGTGTACACACGCGCACATATAGGTGTGTGTACACACGCGCACATATAGGTGTGTGTACACACACCTATAGGTGTATGTACACACACCTATATGTATGTACACACATGTATAGGTGTACACACACATGTATAGGTGTACACACACATGTATAGGTGTACACACACATATACATATGTATGTATACACATATATACACATATATGTATGTATACACATATATACACATATATGTATGTATACACATATATACACATATATGTATGTATACACATATATACACATATATGTATGTATACACATATATACACATATATGTATGTATGCACACACACATATGTATGTATGCACACACACATATGTATGTATGCACACACACATATGTATGTATGCACACACACATACACATACATATGTATGTATGCACACACACATACACATACATAGGTATGTGTGCACACACATATACACATACATAGGTATGTGTGCACACACATATACACATACATAGGTATGTGTGCACACACATATATACATACATATGTATGTGTGCACACACATATATATACATATATATGTATGTATACACACACACACATACACACACCCCACGGAATACTATATGTAGCCATAAAAAAGAATGAAATCATGTCCTCTGCAGCAACATGGATGGAGCTGGAGGCCATTATCCTAAGTGAACTAACTCAGAAACACAAAATCAAACACTGCATATTCTCACTTATAAGCATGGGCTAAACAATGCGCGCACATGGACATAAAGATGGAGGTGATGGACACTGGGTAACTCCAAAAGAGGAGAGGGTAGGAGGAGAGTGAGGGCTGGAGAGGGTAGGAGGAGAGTGAGGGCTGACAAATTATTTATAAGGTACAATGTTCATTGTTTGGGTAATGGGTACACCAGAAGCCCAATCCCCACCAGGATACAATATACCCATGTAACAAACATACATATGTACCCCCTGAATCTAAAATAAAATAAAATTCAGACATATAGACCAATGGAACAGAATAAAGAATGCAGAAATAAAAACCCACACATATGAGATCACCTGATCTTCAACAAGGATGCTAAGAAAAAGAATGGTGAAAAGGTAGTCCCTTCCCCCGTGGAAAACTGGATATCAACATGCAAAAGAATGAAATTGGAACCTTATCTTACGCCATACACAAAAATCAACTTAAAATGGATTAAAGACTTAAACATAAGGCCTGAAACAGTAAAACTCTTAGAAGAAAACATAGAGGAAAAGCTTCATGACATTGGTCTTGGCAATGATTTCATGGATATGATGCCAAAATTACAGGCAACAGAAGCCAAAAATAGACAAGTGGGGCTATATCAAACTAAAAACCTTCTACACAGCATAGGAAGCAATCAACAGAGTGAAAAGCCAAGTTATGGAATAGGGGGAAATATCTGCAAACCATAAGGGGTAAACTTTCAAAATATACAGGAAGAGCTACAGCTCAATAGCAAAAAATGAAAAACTAATAACCTGATTTAAAATGGGTTAATTTTCCTAATTGAAGTAACTCAGAAGCAGAAAGTCAAATACTGCATGTTCTCACTTATAAGTGGGAGCTAAGCAATCAGTATTCATGGATGTACAGAGTGGAATAACAGACACTGGAGACCCCAAAAAGTGGGAGCATGGGAGGGGTGTGAGGGCTGAAAAATTACCTTTTGGGTACAATGTTCACTATTTGAATGACAGGTACATGAAAAGCCCTCACTTTACCAATATGCAATATATACATGCAAGAAATCTGCATTTACATCCCCTAAATATATAAAAATGTTAAAAGAAACAAAAAAATAATTAAAACAGGCCTGAGACTTAATAGACATTGCTCCATGAAGACACACAAATAGCCAACAGGTATATGAAAAGATGCTCAATGTCACTCATCATCATGGAAATGCAAATCAAAATCACAATGAAATATAATTTCATACCTGTTAGGATTGCTATCACGGAAAAAAACAAAAGACAACAAGTGTCGGCAAGAATGTGGAGAAACTGGAACCCTTGTGCACTGTTGGGAAGAATGCAAAATGGTGCAGCCACTATGGAAAATAGTACGAAGGTTCTTTTAAAAATTAAAAATATAACTACCATGTGATCTAGCAATCCCACTTCTGGGTACTTATCTAAAATAAAATCAAGATCTTGAAGAGATATTAGCATTCCTATGTTCACTGCAGCATTATTCACAGTAGCCAAGATGTAGAAACCACCTAAATGTCTGTCAACAGTTGAATGGATAAAGAAAATGTACATACATACATACATATACACACATACAATGGAATACTATTTCCCAAAAAAGAAGGAAATCTTGTCATTGCAATAACGTAGATGAAACTTGAGTATACAATACCATGCTAAGAGAAATAAGGCAGCCACAAAGGACATAATACCATTTGATTCCACTTATATTAGGTATCTAAAATAGTCAAGTTCATAAAAGCAGTGAACAGAATAGTGGTGGTCAGGGGCTTGTGGAATGGAAAATGGGGAGCTGCCGATCAACAGATACAAAGTTTCAGTTACACACAGTGAAAAAGTTCTAGAGATGTGCTGTACAACACAGTACCCAGAGTTAACAATACTGTACTGGACATTTAAAAATCTCTTAGAAGGATCAATTTCATGCTAAGTATTCTTACCACATTAAAGTAAAAATAAATCCTAAAACAAGCCCAATATTTATAAATGTACCTACTGTATACTGTATATAAATGAACAGAATAGTCTAAAAAGAAAAACATCAAACATAAAAAAAGGAAGTAAAAGATTTATGGGGGAAATAAACGTGTGTAAGGTTGCTTTTACTTACTACTTGAATTTTTTTTTTTTTAGAGTGCTACTTTGAGTAGCAAGAACTTTGAATACTGAAGGACGCTGGAGGACAGGCCAGCTCCAATTCATTTTTAAAATGAGTCCAGCTAAATAAATATTCCTGCAATGGCAGTGCCAGAATGGTGAAAGCTTACAAATAAAGAGCCAGGTGAAATTCATTCTTTAAAGCAAATAAGCTAATAACCATAAATCATAGAAAATAGCATTAAAAAAGTAGAGAATAAACATGGCACATTCCCTGACTTCAAAACAGATGGCACCGTTAGTCATACTCTGAGAAGAAGGAGATGACCAATCCCTGGAACACAGCCATACAAACAAAATAACAATCCTCACTGTGCCACTAAATTTTACTTTAGCTCCTATGTCAGAGTTGCCCAAAGCAAGCCATTTTATTTCTTGCAAATATCATGGCAATTTTACAAGGCAAAAGTCAAAAATTAAACTGACCTTTGGAGTACCACAGTCACACTCTTCCCCAGCGTCCACCAACTTATTACCACAGGAGGGAGCACTATAGGCTTCATCAGGCTTTGGAATATTAAGAAGGCAGTTTCCTCCTTTATTTAAAGTTAACTTCTCAAAGTCCTCTGCACTGCAACTGCTAAAGTTTCTGGAACCCCTATAATAAACATTAAGAAAAAGATCTATGTCACAGTGATTACTCACTTTGAAAATGTTAAGTCATGACTTTAACCCACAAAATGTGAATATTTTAAATGACAGAAAAGAAGCTAATAAAAGTGGACAGAAATGAGAATTCATATCTACTTGTGATAAATATTGAACATTACTTCAGCTACTATATAATAATTCACTTTTCTTACAATATATTGTACTTCCAATAAAATATCTTTAAAACATATCACTTACATTGAAATACAAAATGATAATTCTCAGCATCAGAAGAGACTTTAAAAATTATTTAGTCCTATGAGAATAAAGTTTTATTTATCTAACACAGTAAAGGTTCTTCAAATATTGGAAGGTAGCTGTACGTTGTCTCCAATCTTTTTTCTACTCTGAAGGATAACATTTTTATGTTCACCCATGCCCATTACCACTTATTAGGAGCTCTGCAAAAATAATGCAAATGGGCAACTCCAGTTCAGATGCACACTAGCCATCAAAAGGCAGACTGCACAGTGTAGAATTTCAGCTACTCCTATATGACAAGTTTTCAACTTGAGCTTTACATATAATAAATTTTATGATAATTCCTGGGAACCGTGGTTAGTACTTTGAAAGTTAGTTGGCCTTTAAGAAATGTCCAACTTGAGCTATGTGAGATTTATATAAATGCAATTTTGATATGTTCTACCTGGGATTTTTTTTTTAGCTACTACTTTACTCAATAACTATAAAATACTTTCAGGTAGTCCCACTGGCTATTTTTACCTTTGAAAACTAGTGGAAATTACACCTATACATCACCTATATCTTTGAGGAATCCATGTCACATTAAAATTCTATTTTATTTTTGCTTTTGTAGACTGAGTTTTTGGTGTGATATCCAAAAATCATTGTTAAGGCCAATGTCAAGGAGCTTTTCCTCAACGTTTTCTTCTTAGAAAGTTTTACAGTTTCAAGTCTGACATTTAGGTATTTTATCCATTTTGAGTTGATTTTTGTGTATGGTGTATGATAAGGGTCCAATTTCATTCTTTTGCATGTAGAAATCCAGTTACCCCAGAACCATTTATTGAAGAGAACTATCCTTTCCCCATTGTATCCTCCTGGTGCCCTTGTCAAAAATTAATTGACTACACATGTTTGGATTTGTTTCTGGGCTCTCTATTCCGTTCCATCGGTCTACGTGTCTGTTTTTATACCACTACCATGCTGTTTTGATTACTATAGCTATCAAACTAAAAAGCTCTGCACAGCAAAGATAACAACCAACAAAATGAAAAGTCTGCAGATTGGGAGAAAATATCTGCAAACCACATATCTTATAAGGTGTATCTTATAACCATGTATCTTATATCCAAAATATATTTTTTAAAACTCACACAACTCCATAGTAGAAAAACAAATAACTCGATTTTTAAAATGAACAAAAGACTTAAATAGACATTTCTCCAAAGATGACATAAAAATGGCCAACAGGTGCATGAAAAGATGCTCAATATCATTAATCATCAAGGAAGTGCAAATCAAAACCACAATGAAATACCACCTCACCCTTGTTAGGATGACTACCATCAAAAAGAGATAACGGCCAGGTATGGTGGCTCACCGCTGTAATCCCAGCACTTTGGGAGGCTGAGGCGGGCGGATCGCTTGAGGTCAGGAGTTCCAGACCAGCCTGGCCAACATGGTAAAACCCCGTCTCTACTAAAATACAAAAATTAGCCAGGTGTGGTGGTGCACGTCTGTAATCTCAGCTACTTGGGAGGCTGAGGTAGGAGAATCGCTTGAACCTGGGAGGCAGAGGTTGTAGTGAGCCGAGATTGCACCACTGCACTCCAGCTTGGGCAACAGAGAGAGACTCTGTCTCAAATAAATAAATAAATAAATAAAAGAGATGACAAGTGCTAGTGAGAGTATAGAAAAAAAGGAATCTTGAGCACTGTTGGTGGGAATGTAGATTGGTGCAGCCACTGTGGAAAACAATAGGAGTTCCCTAAAGAAATTAAAAACAGAACTATCATATGACCCAGCAATCTCACTTTTGGGTATACACCCAAAGAAAATGAAAACACCACCTCATAAAGACGTCTGTATTATCCCATTTTCAGTGCAGCATTAGCCAAGATATGGAAACAAACAAAGTGTCAACAGTTGAATGGACAAAACTGTGGCACATATAAGACTGGTAATTATTCATCCTTATAAAAGGAGATCCTGACATTTACCACAACATGGAGGAACCTGGAGGATGTTATGCTGCGTGAAGCAAGCCAGACAGAAAAAGAAAAATGTTGCATGATCTCACTTATTTTGGAATCTAAAAAAAGAAGTGGAAAATCCAGAGACAGAAAATAAAACACTGATTATGGTGGAGGTGGAGGAAATGGGACATGTAGGTCTGATACAAAGTAGCAGATATGTAAGACAAACAAGTCTAGAGATCTCAGGTACAGCATGAGGACTATAGATAATAATATTGTATTACATTCAAGATTTTTGCTAAAAGAGATTATAGGTGCTCTTTGCCACACACACAAAAAATGGGCAACAATGTGGAATGATGGATGTGTTAATCTGCTTGACTAACCATTTCACCACCTATATTTACATCAAAACATGTTGTACATCTTAAATACAATAAAATTTATATCTTACATATATTTGTATTTTTTCAAGGGAATTTGGTACCCTGAATCTCTTTTCATCAGTTTGAGCAATGGTACCAGAAGTAGCAGCAGGAGTGAAAGCTATGTTGCATTCTAGTTAATGAAGAAGCAGCCCTATCTATAGCTTGGTCTTTTGTATATCCAAGGAACTCTAAGAAACATATTTTTTGCCCTGAGTAGTCATGTTAAACTCTTCTTTGCTAACTGGTCTCTAGAAAAGTTGATAGTACTGACTCCTGCCTCTTGGATTGGAATGCAGTCTGCCTAGAACATTTTGGTACTGTTAACTGCTGTTTGACCAAAAAAAACAAAAAAAGTATCTAGATGTAGGACGTGGAAGGATTTTAAAAGACTGGCAGAGAAAGAAAAAAGAAAGAACATAAACTATCAATGGTTTGAGACAAAAGAATAGGCAAAGACAAAATTCTGACTCACGGAAAGAAAACATTTAGCACAAGGCTTTTGTCAATAACAGAAAGACTTGTCTTCCTTATTCTTTTTCTTGCTACTAAGAATATTGTGGGGAGGAGTCCTTTTGTGCAATATCAATCAACCACTCACTCAACAAATATTTACTGAATATCTATTATGTACAAGGCATTCTTCTTGGTGCAAGGGATGAAACTGTGAACATAGCAGACAAAAATCCCTGCCCATGTAAAGGTTATGATTATGATTCAGTGATTTACTTATATAATAAATTAGATAGCATATTATAAGGTAATAAGTGCTATGGGGAAAAAAGGCGACGGGGTGTGGGTGTGATGAGCTCTGCAGAGGAAGGGATGCTTGTGATTTTAAAAGGGCAGTCAGGACAGGCACCTCAAATATGTGACAGTTCAATCAAAACTGTGTATCTGGGAGGAAAACACTATAGAAAGAAGGAATAGCAAATGCAAAAACTCTGGGGTAGAAGCTTTCCTGGCAGACTGAGTCAGTGAGGAAATGAGTCATGAGAGATACAGTCAGCAAAGACAGGAATAGGCCATTGTAGGAATGTGGCTTTCTACTCTAAGTGGAATGGGGAAGTTGGAAGGGGAAGACCATGAAAAGTGCAGGAGTAATGTGATTTGACTAATGTTTTAATAGGATCACCATACTTGTTCTATTAAGAGGAAGACTACAAAGAAGGCTCTTAGAGAAATCCACCAAACAGATGATGATGGACCAAAATGAAACAGTGGGAGCTGTAAGAAGTGGTTGGATTGCTTTTGTTTTAAAGGAACAGCCATTAAGATGAAGAGTGAGAAAAAAGAGAAATCAAGAATGACTCCCAGGTTGTTGTCCTGGGATACTAGAAGGAAGGAGTTACCATTAATTCACATGGGGAAGACTATGGGTAGATCACATTTTAGGACAACTTTAGGAGGGATCACAGGAGTTTGAGCCTATTAGACATCAAGTAAAAATGTCAAAGCAGTATAAAATAATTATTTGATAAACAAAGAAGACTGCAGTTTAAACAGAGGCTTGTAATTGTTTTTTATTTTGTACTGTTGATCTTTATGTGGTAAGCACAGCGCCTGCTACATGGTATACATGCAATAATGTTTTCTGTAGGAATATATTTAATAATGTAATCCCAATGCTTTGGGAAGCTAAGGCAAGAGGATCACTTGAGCCCAGGAATTCAAGGCCACCTGGGCAACATAATGAGACCCTGTCTCTACAAAAAATAAGCTGGGCATGGTGGTGCACACCTGTAGTCCCAGCTACTCAGGAGGCTGGGGTGGGAGGAGTTTAAGGCTGCAGTGAGCTATGATCAAGCCACTGCTCTCCAGAGACCCTGTCTCCAAAAAAAAAAAAAAAACACACACACACACACACTTAAATATATATTTAAATATATATACTACATAAATATATATTTATAAATTACATATATTTAATTAGACAATGGCCATAGAACTTGCGCAGGCAGGCCGGGCGTGGTGGCTTACGCTTGTAATCCCAGCACTTTGGGAGGCCGAGGCGGGTGGATCACGAGGTCAGGAGATCGAGACCACGGTGAAACCCCGTCTCTACTAAAAATAAAAAAAAAAAATTAGCCGGGCGCAGTGGCGGGCGCCTGTAGTCCCAGCTACTCAGAGAGGCTGAGGCAGGAGAATGGCGTGAACCCGGGAGGCAGAGCTTGCAGTGAGCCGAGACTGCGCCACTGCACTCCAGCCTGGGTGACAGAGCGAGACTCCGTCTCAAAAAAAAAAAAAAAAAAAAAAAAGAACTTGCGCAGGCATATGTATAGTCCTATATTTTAGTCCCTAATTTCAACCTACATAAAGTCTACCACCTCTAAACAAGTTATTTTTTAAATAAGCTCATTATCTGGTAGTTGAAGGATATTTTCTTATAAACAATGTTTCAAATGCTTGATCCTTCAGCAATCTACCAAAAAAAAAAAAAAATTCACCCACATGAATTGACTATAGAACTAAAAAGCATAACAAAATCATAGACACTTGTGGTGCTTTTTAACAGATGGGAGATAGTAACAACATCCCCTGTGTTGGCCTTCAGTGAGACTTTAAAATGCTTTAGAGGCTACAGTGAAAATACCCTTCCACTAGCCATCACTGGCTGGCACCTATGGCAACAAAAAGAATGATCTTTCTCCTGATACGGGGCTTGAAGAGCAACTCAAGTATTTCTACTCTCTATCACCTCTAGACTCTACAATATTAATGATTTATAGCCTCTCCTCCTCTCTTTTCTCACATCTAGGTGATTTTCCCAAAATGGCTTCAAAAGGAGATCGACAATAATGAAAATGTTTTACATGGAAATGACAAAAAAAAAAATTTCAACTATCATTCAAAACATATTTATTTGAGTCCTCTGAAAATTCCCAGAACACAATTTTCACCATTACTATGCTGATTCCCACAGCCTAGGATTAGGAAGTCTTAAGAGAAGATTCTAAGTGCTGGTACTGAATTAGATTAAGAAAAAAACACCTGATTATGGAAGCTTGCTGATGGAAGCTTGCTGACATTGAGGGGCAGAGTTAAGAAAGCCATTTTTCTAGAAAGGCACCTCCCAGGAAGAGCAACTCACACTTTCCAGAATCTAACAGCAATGCATAAGAATACCACTGTGCCCCCAAAATATCATAAACAATAACAAAAAAATCTTATTACGAGGGTAGATTATCCATTTTATTAAATGGAACTGGCTCCCAATGACTGAGTTATCTGAGGGGGAAAAAATGAAACATGTACATCACTAGCATCTAAAAAAAAAAGCCAAACAAAATGATAGAAAATTAACATTTATTAAACAGCCTATGAAGTAGAGGGTAGGAAATATGCCCTCAAAAAAAGAAAGTTTAATATCAGCTTGGTAGTAAAAAGGAATCTGAGGAAAAATAAGAGAAAAAAATATGTATTACCTAGGATAACCTCATCCTAGTTCAGAAATTATTCTTTTTTTTGTTTTGTTTTGTTTTGTTTTGTTTTGAGACAGAGTCTCGCTCTGTCACCCAGGCTGGAATGCAGTGGCACGATCTCAGCTCACTGCAAGCTCTGCCTCCCGGGTTCATGCCATTCGCCTGCCTCAGCCTCCTCAGTAGCTGGGACTACAGGCGCCCGCCACCATGCCCGGCTAATGTTTTGTATTTTTAGCAGAGACGGGGTTTCACGTATTAGCCAGGATGGTCTCGATCTCCTGACCTCGTGATCCACCTGCCTCAGCCTCCCAAAGTGCTAGGATTACAGGCGTGAGCCACCGCACCCGGTCTAGAAATTATTCTTAAAAAAAATTTTAAATATAACAGCTACACAATATAAAATACCACATGAAGCCACAATACACTACAAGAAAGAAAAAAACGAGCAGATAAAGTCCAATAAAGACTCCTAATACTAGTTCTAGGATTATCAAATGATAGCCATAAGACATTTATGCTTACTATGATCAGAGACAAAAGTGACAAGCATGAAAATTTGGGCAGGAAACTAAAATCTACAAAACTAATATATCAGATTTGAAAAAGAACCAGACATAAATTTGACAAATGAAATAAGCAAAATTAATAATTCAATGGATAAGTTTAACAACAGACAAAATACATATGAAGACAGAATCAGTGAGCTGAAAGATATCAGAAGAAATTACACAGAAGAAAAAAACACAAAAAGATAGGAAACATATTTAAAAAACTAAGAGACAAAGGAGACATAGTGAGGTCTAACACACAGTTCACTAGAATCACAGAGGCGTAAGAGAGACAGCAAATGTGCAGACACCCTGTGTACACAGGCAATATGTAAAGACATGACTGAGAATTTTCCGACTGATGAAAAATATCAAGCCACAAACTTTAAAACACTAAAAAATTTCTAAGCAGGATATGAAGACATATATGTGTAAATGTGTTATATATACATAACATACGTATGTATGCATGTTGTATATTTTTTTCTTTCTACAACAGGAACATGATAATGAAACGTCAAAAAAAAAAGTTTAAAGACAAAATTGTGAAAACAGCCATAGGTAAATAGACAGATTCATTTCAATGGAATAATGGTCTGACACCTTGACATCTCAACAACAACATGGAAAGCAAAAGACAATGGAAAAATCCCAATATGATGAAAAATAACTGATGATCTACGATTCTATATTCAACAAAAATATCCTCAAAAAACAGAAACAAAGACACCCTCAGGAGAAAAACAAAAACAAAAACTAAGAGATACACTACTACTAAAAACACATTAAAGGAAAGTCAAAACTGGTTCTTTGATCAGACTGAAAAATGGATACCAAATGGAAGGTCAGAGATGCAAGAGGACCAAAGAGCAAGGGCAGTGGTCAAAATCTAAATGAATAATGATAAACAATCACTAATATCTTCCTGGCACACAGCTATATGAGTCAAGAAAGTGATGAATGGAGTTAAGGCACGATATAGCCTTTGAACTGTGTGGGGAAGGATAAGATTTAATAGTAGACATGATAAATAAGAACATGTGTAATAATTTCTAGGGTAACTTTAAAAAAAATAAAAGACTGCATAATTTCCATTCTAGAAATATGTCTAGAAGAAAAACAGTATCTACTAAAAACACTCTATCTGGCAGTGCACAGTGGCTCACACCTGTAATCCCAGCACATCAGGAGGCTAAGGTGGGAGGATTGCTTAGGCCTAGGAGTTCAAAACCAGCCTGGGCAACATAACAAGAACCCATTTCTACAAAGTGAAAATAAATATAAAAACACTCTACCAACCCAAAAGAAATAACACAGAAGATTTTGTTGTTGTTGTTGTCGTCCCATTTTTAACTGATACACAATAGATGTATATATTCTCAGGATACATGTGATCACTTGATCCATTCATACAATGTGTAAAGACCAAATCAGGGTAATTGGAACATCCATCAACTTAAATATTTAAGACCGAAAACTTTTAAGAAAAAAACCATAAAAGAAGACAAATAAAGGAGATATAAGATGGTAGATTTAAACCCAAATGCTGTATTTAATTGATTCTAAAACACATTCTTTCCATATTTAAATAACTTTGAAACTGAGATTCATTTCAGATTACAATTGACGTATTAATTTCATTGACA
This sequence comes from Homo sapiens, assembly GCF_000001405.40. Taxonomy (NCBI): domain Eukaryota; kingdom Metazoa; phylum Chordata; class Mammalia; order Primates; family Hominidae; genus Homo; species Homo sapiens. Next base: position 39,033,692 of record NC_000008.11, on the reverse strand, counting down.
CCATATTTCTTTCTCAGTGGTATGGAAAAAGTGGTGTATCTTATAATCAATGGCATTTAGATTTGATTAAATGGATCAGTAATTACAGTAAATATAAATATATTAAGTGATATAATTATAAGACATATATTTTCAATTTGGATTAAAAATAAAATTTAAATATGTTTTAGAAGCATAACTATTAAAAATAAAAAAAAACACACTGTCAATGCTAAAAAAAAAATGTGAGGAAGGTAAAGCAATATCAGATTGGTAGTCCTAGCTACTGCAGTGAGAAAAGAAAACAAAGTAAAAGGTATACTGACTGGAAAGAAAGAAAAACTGTCTTTGTACAGAGATAATATGATCATCTATGTAGAAAATCAAAAAGAATTGAAAAAGACTCCTGGAACTAAAAAGCAATTACAGTAAGGTTATAGGATACAGGGTTAATATACAAAAGTCAATTACTTTCCTATATGCCAGCAATGAACAAGTAGAATTTGAAATTAAAAACATAATATCATGTACATTAGGACCCCCAAAAATGAGAGTTAGGTATAAATCTAACAAAATATGTATAAGATCTCTATGGGGAAACTATAACACTATCTGATGAAAGAATCAAAGAACTAAATAAATGGAGAGATATTTCATGCTCACATACAGGCAGACTCAATATTAAGATGTCAGTTCCCCAACTTGATCTATACATTCAATGCGATCCTAATCAAAATCCCAGCAAATTAGTTTGTGGATATAGATAAAACTGATTTTAAAGTTTACATGGGGTGGCAAAAGACCCAGAATAGCCAATATAATAGTAAAGAAGAAGAACAAAGTTGGAGGACTGGTGCTACCTGACTTCAAGACTTACTCTAAAGCTGCAGTAATCAAGACCGTGTGGCCATTCCAAGATGGCCGAATAGGAACAGCTCCGGTCTGCAGCTCCCAGTGTAACAGACGCAGAAGATGGTGATTTCTGCATTTCCAACTGAGGTACCTGGTTCATCTCATTGGGACTGGTTGGACAGTGGGTGTAGTCCACAGAGGGTGAGCCAAAGCAGGGCGGGGCATCGCCTCACCCAGGAAGCACAAGAGGTCAGGGGATTTCCCTCTCCTAGCCAAGGGAAGCCGTGACAGACTGTACCTGGAAAATTGGGACAACCCCACCCAAATACTGTGCTTTTCCAATGGTCTTAGCAAACAGCACACCAGGAGATTACATCCCACGCCTGGCTCGGCGGGTCCTACGCCCACAGAGCTTTGCTCACTGCTAGGGCAGCAGGCAGATTGACCTGTGAGGCAGCAGCCTGGCAGGGGGAGGGGCGTCTGCCATTGCTGAGGCTTGAGTAGGTAAACAAAGCAGCCAGGGAAGCTCAACTGGGCGGAGCCCACCACAGCTCTGCAAGGCCTGCTGCCTCTGTAGATCCCACCTCTTGGGGCAGGGCATAGCTAAACAAAAGGCAAGAGAATCTTCTGCAGATTTAAACGTCCCTGTCTGACAGCTCTGAAGAGAGCAGTGGTTCTCCTAGCACAGTGTTTGAGCTCTGAGAACAGACAGACTGCCTCCTCAAGTGGGTCCCTGACACCCATGTAGCCTAACTGGGAGACACTTCCCAGTAGGGGCCAATGACACCTCACACAGGCGGGTGCCCCTCTGGGATGAGGCTTCCAGAGGAAGGATCAGGCAGCAATATTTGCTGTTCTGCAATATTTGCTGTTCTGCAGCCTCCACTGGTAATACCCAGGCAAAAAGGGTCTGGAGTGGACCTCCAGCAAACTCCAACAGATCTGCAGCTGAGGGACCTGACTGTCAGAAGGAAAACCAACAAACAGAAAGGAATAGCATCAACATCAACAAAAAGGACATCCACACCAAAACCCCATCTGTAGGTCATCAGCATCAAAGACCAAAGGTAGATAAAACCACAAAGATGGGGAGAAACCAGAGCAGAAAAGCTGAAAATTCTAAAAATCAGAGCGCCCCTTCTCCTCCAAAGGATCACAGCTCCTCGCCAGCAACGGAACAAAGCTGGACAGAGAATGACTTTGACAGGCTGACAGAAATAGGCTTTAGAAGGTTGGTAATAACAAACTTCTCCAAGCTAAAGGAGGATATTCGAACCCATCGCAAGGAAGCTAAAAACTTTGAAAAAAGATTAGACAAATGGCTAACTAGAATAAACAGGGTAGAAAGGACCTTAAATGGCCTGATGGAGCTGAAAACCATGGCACGAGAACTATGTGACGCATGCACAAGCTTCAAGACTGTGTTATTAGCAAAAGGTGACAGATAGATAAAGAGAACAAGATAGAGAGCCCAAAAAGAGTCCTACATAAATACAGCTAACTGATCTCTGACAAAGGAGCAAAGGCAATACAATAAAAGATAATCTTTTCAACAAATGGTGCTGCTACAATTAGATATTCATATGCAAAAAATAAATAAATAAATCTAGACACAGATCTTACATCCTCCACAATTAACTCCATGTGGATCAAAGGTCTAAGTGTAAAATTCAAAACTCTAAAACTCCTGGGAGATAACATGGGAGAAAACCTAGATCATCTTGGATATGGCAATTATTTTTTAGATACAACACAAAAGGCATCGTCCATGAAAGAATTAAAATATTAAATGTATGCTCTGTGAAAGACAATATTAAAAGAATGAGAAGATAAGCTGCAGACTAGTAGAAAATATTTGCAAAAGACATATTTGATAAAAGACTCTTATCCAAAGTATGCAAGCAACTCTTAAAACTAAAAAATAAGAAAAGAAACAATCTGATTAAACAATGGGCCAAAGACCTTCACAGATGCCACAAAGAAGACATAAAGAAGGAAAAAGATCATCTACATCCTATGTCATCAGGGAAATGTAAATTGAAACAATGAGATACCACTACATGCCTATAGGAATGGCCAAAATCCAGAACACTGACAACACCAAATTCTGACAAAGATGTAGAGCAACAGCAATTCTCATTCACTGTTGGTGGGAATACAAAATGGTATAGCTACTTTGGAAGACAATTTGGCAGTTTCTTACAAAACTAAACATACTCTCTTAACATATGATCCAGCAATCGCATCCCTTGGTATTCACCCAAAGGAGCTGAAAACATGATCACACAAAACCCTGCACACGGACACTTATGGCAGCTTTTTTCATAATTGCCAAAGCTTAGAAGCAACCAATATGTCCTTCAGTAGGTAAATGGTTAAACTGTGGTACATCCAAACAATGGGTTATTATTCAGCACTACAAATAAATGAGCTATCAAGACATGAAAAGACATGAGGAGCCTTAAATGCATATTGCTAAGTGAAAGAAGCCAATATGAAAAGGCAACATACTGCATGATTCTAAATATATGATATTCTGGAAAACACGAAACTATGGAGACAGTAAAAAGATTAGTGGTTGCCAAGGGTTGGAGGGGTGGGGAGAGATGACTAGGTGGAGCACAGAGGATTTTTTAAGGCAATGGAAATACTCTGCATGATACCATAATGAGGGATACTTGTCATCATACACTTGTTCATACCCATAGAATGCACAACACCAAGACTGAACCATAAAGTATGGACTTTGAGAAATCATGATGTGTCAATATAGGTTTGTCAGTTTTAACAACCATACCACTCTGTTGAGGGATATTGAAATGGAGAGACTATGCAAGTGTGGGGACAGAAAGTATATGGGAGGAGTCTTTCTACTTTCCTCTTGATTATTCTGTGAACCTAAAACTGCTTAAAAGAAAAAAAAGTCTTCTCAAAATATTGAAGAGGAAGGAACACTTCCAAACTCATTTTATGAGCCCAGCATCACCCTAATATCAAAGTCAGACAAGGGACAACCAGAAAAGAAAATTGTAAGTCAATATCCCTAGCAACATAAATGTAAAAATCCTCAAAACAAATACTAGCAAACAGAACTCAACAACACACCAGAAACATCAGGCCCTCCGACCAAATGAGATTTGTACCTGGGACACAAGGACGGTTCAACACACAAAAATGTATTAACACCACGTTAACAGAATCAAGGATCAAAGTCACATAATCATCTCAACAGGTGCCAAAAAGGCATTTGATAAAATTCAACATTCTTTCACAACAAAAGATCTCAACAAACTAGGAAGAGGGAAATCACTTCAATATAATAAAGGCCATATATGAAAAGCCCACAGACAACATCATACTCCACAGTGAAAAATCAAAAGCTTTCCCACTAAGCTGGACAAGACATAGGTACTCACTTTGGCCACTTCTATTCAAGAGATAAGAAGTCACTGGGAGAATAAGGCTGAATAATTCACCTGGAACCCTCTCTATTATCAGTGTTATCAGTGTCCCTCTACCTCATGTTATCAGTGTTATCAGTGTCCCTCTACCTCATGTTATCAGTATCCTCATGTTATCAGTGTCCCTCTACCTCAACTCCTATGGGGTCAGTCTCCCCTGTGGCTACAGAGACTCTCCAAGATCCAGTAATGAACAGTTCACTCCCTTTCTATCTACTGTATCCCTAGCAAGTTTATACACATTCAAGTCAACCAAAAAAAAAAAAAAACAACAACAACACTTTTTTGGCTCTTCCCTTGGGAAAATGATGGATACCTTAAATTTGAAATCATGTTATCTTCATATTTAAACGTCAATATGCACTGTTTTAAATATAATATTCAAAAATACCATTCTCCTCAAAATATTTTAAGTATACTGTAAGTCTGCTTGACACAGGGTTGACTTTAGGGGAGTGGTTTTAAATACCAACTCACTCAGGTTTCTGTTATTAACATCCAGTTTTGTCATACTGAAGCCTGTTCTGTTGTTTCACCACCCTCCGTCCTCCCAATCCTCCACATTCTGCTCTATTTTATTTCCCATAGCACTTATCGCCTTCTAACACTCTATATTATTGATTTTCTTATGTTTATAGATTGTCTTCCCCCCAGATGTAAACTCCTTGAAGGGTGAGTCGATCTAACTCACTGAGGTATTCCAAGTGCTGAGAACAAAGTCTGGCAGGTGGTCAGTGCTCAATAAATGTTTGACAAGTTGGTGAATAAAGTATGGGTCCACTCTTCATTGCTTCCTATACCATATTAAATTCCACTATGGCACTGTTTCATAACATTCCCTCCTTACCTCTGAATGCTTCTTTTTTATTTTAATCTATGACTTATCTCATTGCTCATTACACATTTCTTGTTTCCCTGAACTCACGTCTTTCTCAACTTCACTGCTGGCCAAAGCAAATCCTAAATTTACTTCCCTCTCCTACAGGAAATCTTTTACAAACATATGACGTTCCTTACATACCTAATTTTTTTTTTATGAAGCATGGCTTTTTGTAAGTACTATTTTAACTCTTCCATATCTATTTTTGAGCCTAGTATTTGTTCAAAAACTGTAAATTCTGCTTGAGTGCTTCCCTTTATACTAGCATGTGATTGAAATTGTCTTGTCCACTCAGAACTTCAGCTGAAAGGCTGGTTGACAGAAGTTTTTATTACTCTGTCAGTGCTTCAGGAGCCTGAGGGAGGTGGGAAGTGGCATGAACACTTGGGGCCACGGATATTCCCCATGTGAAATCTTCATCTGTGTTTGTTTTGAAACAGGGTCTTGCTCTGTTGCCCAGGCTGGAGTGCAGTGGCACAATCATAGCTCACTGCAGCCTTGAACTCCTGGGCTCAAGTGATCCTCCTGCCTCAACCTCCTGAGTAGCTGGGACTACAGGCACGCACCAACACACCCAGTTAATATTTTATTTTTTATTTATTTATTTATTTTTTTTTAGAGACAGGGTCTCACCGTGTTGCCCAGGTTGGTCTTGAACTCCTGGTCTCAAGCAATCCTCCCTAATTGCTGAGATTATAGGCATGAGCCACCAGGTCCGTCCTGTATTTGTTAAAGATATCACCTCTCATATCTAATTTTCACTCAGGCTCAACATCTACACACGTACGAACTACAGTTACATTCAGCTCTCTGCTTAGGACTCCTGCCTTCTAAATTAGGAAGGAACCTCGTTGGCATTACAACGAATCTGCATTAGAAATCTATATTTCTGATGCCCAACCACCATGGGATCTTCTATTATAATTATTTTTTAGCTCTGGGACAGGAAAGGGTTCTCAGATCACAGGCTTTGACTTCCTGACTTTGAATCCCAGTCAGCAATTTGGATGTGTGACCTCAGTTTCCTCATCTGCAAATGGAGATAAAGTATGTGCACCTCATTTCACTGATGAGTAGTAAGTGAGTGGATACGTTTTAAATGGCTACAATAGTGCCTGTACATAAAAAGAGCTTAACAAATGTTAACCATTCTCTCTCCTCTTCTCTGTCTTGCCTCCCACCTTTATCTCTATAAAACAGGGTTTGTTAATAGAAATATATCAGGATCTCTTCTACCTACAGTGACAATGCAGCACTTTCTCAAAAAGAGGTTTGTGAAGAAACTTCTTATGCAGTCCTTCAGTGTAATCCAATCCACACTGAACCTAGCAGAAACTCCCTCTTAATTTCTAATTCAGATAATAAACTTTGCCATGTTCTTATACTTTCAGTCTATAACTGGTTTACAGAAGAGTGTAGTTACATACTTGTGCCTACATAAGTATTGCCTTCTTAAAGCTCTCTGGAATCATTTAATTAAAAAATAGACTTCAGCAATACATCAGGTAACAAACTCCACATGTACCCCCTAAATCTAAAAGGCTGGAAAAAAAAAAAAAAAGACTTCTCATTGGTATGTCATGCAATTAATTTCAGCAAACCGGAAATAACATTTCCTGTTTTCCCAATGTAGACATGAATATCCCTCACAGTGTAAGAAACATGGATCTACAATACCAAATAAAGGAGAAGAAGAACCCAGGTACTCACGATGCTCCTGAATTCATGATGCAGCTCTTTGCTCCACAGGAACAATCTCTCCCATCATCGTGATTCATTCCAAGATTATGACCCAATTCATGAGCAACAATGGAAGCAAATGTCTCCACAGTGATTTGTCCAAACTGTTCAGAACAGGAAGGTAGTAATTAGGTTTCTGAACGCAAAGAAAATGTTTTGCTGCTCAGATTATTTTTTCACAAAAGGAAATTTATTCACTACACTGTTGACAGCCTACGTGATAAATCAAGCATCCAACAACAGTCTTTATACATTTCAGTCTAGTAAGAAAGTAACATGAATCACACACGTGATGGACATGGATCCTTCAAGCAAGAGGTCAACCACTTTAGCACCAACAGATTACTTATGGTAGTTTATAGGAAAACAAGTTAATGGTTCTAATTTAATTCTCTAAAATGGAGTACATGTTTCCTCACCCATAAAAAGTAAAGAGCTACACTCATAAGTGGGAGTTGAACAATGAGAACACATGGACACAGGGAGGGGAACATCACACACCGGGGCCTGTCGGGAGGTGGGGAGCAAGGGGAGGGAGAGCATTAGGACAAATACCTAACATATGCGGGGCTTAAAACCTAGATGACGGGTTGATAGGTGCAGCAAACCACCATGGCACATGTATACCTATGTAACAAACCTGGACATTCTGCACATGTGTCCCAGAACTTAAAGTAAAATAAAATGAATAAAAAAGAAAAGAGCTAATAAACACATAGCACATATTTAAAAACTTGACCCAGTCTCTGGGGAAAGAACCCATCTGCGACTTCTACTGTGTTCCTCATAACACCCAAAATATTGTTTTAAGGACCAGGGGAGGAAGTATACAGTCAATAAATGCTTGATATTGTCCCAGTGCAAACATCCAAAGTTAAACATCAAGAACAACGTACCACATTAATCCCGCCTGCGTGGCTCCTTGAACACACTGTTCCCACAAATGCCATTCCTGCAGTTCCACCAAAACCTTTCTTTCTAAATGAAAATGTAAAAGTTAAAAAATGTTCTTGGGGAAAAAAGGAACACATTGCTTTTATTTTATGAATAATCTCAACTGGATTGGGAGAACCTACAAAACATGGCAGGAAAATGGCAAAAAAAAAAAATTCTAAAATCAGAATATACTTATGCCTTATCTCCTTCTTATTAATTTTTTCAGACAAATGAAGACACTTTCTGGATACCGAGACAAGTTTGTTTCTTTTTACCTTCTAGGTGAAACCTCTCCTAAAATACATTAGGTTTATTTATACACTTATTATATTTAACTATATATTAAAATACACATTTTAGTGAGGAGAGACAGATAACGAATGAAATGAATATGTTTACACGGGCAGCTGCAGGGCAGTGAGCAGGGTGAACATGAGGAGTAAGGATGGGCCAGACGTGGTGGCTCATGCCTGTAATCCCAGTACTTTGGGAGGCCGAGGTGGGCAGATCACCTGAGGTCAGGAGTTTGAGACAAGCCTGGCCAACATCATGAAACCCCATCTCTACTAAAAAAACAAATACGAAAATTAGCCAGCCATGGTGGCGCACATCTGTAATCCTAGCAACTCGGGAGGCTGAGGCAGAAGAATCATTTGAACCTGGGAGGCGGAGGCCACAGTGAGCCAAGACTGCACCGCTGCACTCCAGCCTGGGTGATAGAATGAGACTCTGTCTCCAAAATAAAAAAAAAAGAATTCAGGATGGGCCCTGTGTGCCTCCCCAGTCACACCCCACACACCTGTACCTCAGCACCTGTTCCCTCCGCCTGGACCTCTCTTCCCTAATATTAATATAACCCAGACTCATTCCCTCACCTCCTTCAGGTCTTTACTCAGAAGGCATCTCCCTGGCTAGACCATGTCACCTCAAAATTCAACAGTGAATAACACTGTTTTTCTAAACTTTTATCTAAAATTTTAATCACAACCTCCAATGCTTTTATATCTACCCTCCCGTTTTATTTTTCTCCTTACCACTTATCATTGGTTAACATACTACATGTACTTATTTATCACATGTATAGCCAATCTCCTCCACCAGAACATGGACTCCATGAGAGCAGGAATTTTTGCCAGTTTTGTTCACTGCTATGTCCCAGTGTCTGGGGTATACACCCAATAAATATATTTTAAATGAATGGATAAATCCTTCTCTGGGCCATCTGACCAGCCAGGAGAAGATGACCAGAGGTACTGACATAAGGAGATTGACAAGGACATTCCAGCCAAACCACCCTATAAGGAACTCATAGGCCCCAAAATGCACTCATGGACTCAAGGCTTCCAAAAAGGTTTTCGGGACCCCATTCTCAACTGTAAACAAACAACTAAAAATCATCAAGCATCTGGGAAATGTCTCTAACAGGACAGATGGAGACCACACAAAGAGAGGGGGTTAAGATAGTTTGGTGGGTGTGGTTGGGCAAGGCATAGTGAGTATGCTTGACACCTGCTCCTTATGGTATTTTGTGAACTAGATGGCATTCTCACTGGTACGAGGATGTGTGAGCGTACGATTTTACTAAAAATTAAGACCCACACCAAAACACATCATCAGGAAAATTCAGAAGCCTGGGAACCAAGAGAAGATCCTACAAGTTTCCAGTGACGGGGAAAAACAGGCCACATACAAAAGGTCAGGAATCAGAATGTTTCAGACTTCCCAATAGTAATGCTGGGACAAAAAAGACAAAAGAGCAACGCCTTCAAAGTCGTGAAGAAAAAGGATTTCACGGATACAATTTTATACCCAGTGTCACGCCTATAATCCCAGCACTGTGGGAGGCCAAAACAGGTGGATCACCTGAGGTCAGGAGTTCGAGACCAGCCTGGCCAACATGGTGAGACCCCATCTCTGCTACACTACAAAAATTAGCCAGGTGTGGGGGCAGGCACCTGTAATCCCAGCTAGTCGGGAGGCTGAGGCAGGAGAATTGCTTCGACCTGGGAGGCAGAGGCTGCAGTGAGCCAAGATCGTGCCACTGCACTCTGGTCTGGGCAACAGAGTGAGACTCTGTCTCCAAAAAAAAAAAAAAAAAAAAAAACAAACGCAAAAGAAACTCAAAGCATGCCTAGGAAATACTGAGTTACTTAGGCCTAGAGTAATCAGAACTCAAATTGAGATAATTTTTCAATTCTGTTCCGAAACTGGGAAACCATATTTTCAGACACACAGGAGGTCAAAATGTTTTCTTTCTATATATCCGTTCACAAAAAACTAGTACAAAGCACACTATACCCAAATGAGGATGTAAACTCAAGAAAAAAGGAGGATATGGGAGAAAGGTCACAGGAATCCAAAACAGAAGAGGTCTCATGATAATGCCACATCAAGCTAAGTTTTCCTCATTTAAATGAATACCCCAAAACCTCAAGAGAATATAATTCTAATACAAGAAAATAAGCAAAAATTATTATTTTGATTATTTCATTAATAGTACTTAAAAAAAAAATACTTACAGAACTAGCTGTGCACTGTCATGTCTCCGACGTGTGATAAGAAACTTTTCCCGCCACTGCACGAAGTTCCCCAGCACATCACCAGCACCCCCAACTATGTTGATCAGGTTTCCATTGGTCCAAATCTCCAGTCCAACTAGCACAATTCGAATATTTAACATAATATACATCTGGGAAGAAAGAAATAAAAGTATATAAAATATAGTAAAGAACGTGAGAAAAATCTTTTAACCACATGAAGTAACACGGCTACTTAAATTAAAACTCCCCTGCCTAAAAAAAACTATCTTTCCTTTAATACAATGAGACTTTGGGCGGGGCGCAGTGGCTCACGCCTGTAATCTTAACACTTTGGGAGGCCGAGGCAGTTGGATCACCGGAGATCAGGAGTTGGAGACCAACCTGGCCAATATGGTGAAATCCCGTCTCTACTAAAATACAAAAATTAGCTGGGCGTGGTGGTGCACACCTGTAAACCCAGCTACTTGGGAGGCTGAGGCAGGAGAATCGCTTGAACCTGGGAGGCAGAGTCTGCAGTGAGCCGAGATTGCGCCACTGGACTCCAGCCTGGGCAACAGAGCGAGACTCATCTCATAAAAAAAAAAATACAATAAAACTTTAACCTCTCAATAGTCTCAGTTTCCTCAACCATAAAATAATAGTAACAGAGATTCGAAATCCTTATTATCTTCTATTCTAAAATCTGACAAACTCTGGAAATTAAGTTTTTGGTAAAACTGGCTCCAAAATTTGCCCTGATATAATGCAAGCCCATTCATAGTCCACATTTAACCTATTTAATGTAAATATTCCTATATTTCACTGCAGAAATATCAATGAGTCTGATTATGAGGTGCTACCCCAAGATCCTGTCGAAGGTGTTATATAATACAGAGTTAATCACACTGTTTTTCTAAACTTATCTAAAATTTTAATCACAGGTACATCAGAGGTTTCAGATAAAGGACTGTGGAACTCATAATTTCATAGGGGTACTGTAAGGAGTAAATGGGTTAATAAATGTAAAGCACTTAGCTCAGTGTCTAGCACACTGTAAGTACTCAAGTGAATGCTATCATCATCATCGTCATCATCACGTTTAATGTTCATATCAGCTTTGTAGATAAAATTATAAGAACATATATCTAATTCTTTAATATCTCCCACCGGATGAACTCCAAAATCTCAAACCAAACACTCTCTTTCTCTCTCTCTCTCTCTCTCTCTCACACACACACACACACACACACACACACACACAAATATTGTCATATCATGTTTTCAGGGTAGAAGGCAGCCTTATTCAAAATAAGATGCATTCGACAAAAATTCAAAGATCTTTCCATAAATGCCAAAGCACCTAAGCCTAGCAACTCTGAAGATAAAGTAGATGCTAATATGAAATCTCTTGCTCTTCTCAGTCTTTCTACACTGGTACTTTCCTTTAAACATTAAAAAGAGTTACAAAACAAACCAGAAAGCAGACCTCTGAAAGACTAAGTCATTGAGGCCCTATGAAAATCAGAACTCAAAATGAGACATTTTTAAGTTCTGTTCTGGGACTGAAAGAATAGGACAGAATCATCCTGGTTGATAGAAAATACAACTTACACTATCCAAGTAGTTTGCCAGGAGAATCATCTCTTCTCTCACAGCAGTCTGATTTCTTCCCATCATGTCATACTGGAAAAGCAAAGAAGGAGAATCATTATCACCAAAGTACTTTAAGAATAGAAATGTAAGGCCGGGTGCAGTACCTCATGCCTGTAATTCTAGCATTTTGAGAGGCCCAGGCGGGTAGATCACCTGAGGTCAGGAGTTCGAGACCAGCCTAGCCAACATGGCGAAACCTTCTCTCTACTAAAAATACAAAAATTAGCCAGGCGTGGTGGCAGGTGCCTATAATCCCAGCTACTCAGGAGACTGAGGCAGGAGAATCGCTTGAACCCGTGGGGGTGGAAGTTGCAGTGAGCCAAGATCCCGCCATTTCACTCCAGTCTGGGAGAAAGAGCAAAACTCCATCTCAAAAAAAATAAAAATAAAATAAAAATGTGTCTGTTACTATGAAGAATCCAAATATTTCCTCTGAACAAAAAATTGAGGCATTTAGACATTTATCAACATTTCAAATTAAGAAATTTAAAGGTTACATTGTAGTGACAGGAATAAAAGAAAAACAGGTAAAAGGGTAAAGTGAATAATAATGAAAGAGCACTGAAGACTTCATTTTATCCAAATTAGTAGAACTTTAAAACGAATTATCTTCTTAATGTTCCTTTTATTTTAATGCAAAAATATTTTCAAGCATTTCACAAAGGTAGAGTTTTAAGCAATCAAAATGCATAGATAAAAGAATAAAAGACAATCTAAAGAACTTCCTGACCCTTTCACCTCTTAAGCTAATGATGTAATCAATAAACTTTTTTTTTTTTTAATTTAACAGAATTTAGTTGAGCAAAGAATGACTGATTCAAGAATTGTGTGGCTTCCAAACCAGAACAGGTTCAGAGAGACTCTGTGCAGCCACATAGTGGAAGAAGATTTATGGACAGAAAAACGAAGTGACATACAGAAAATAGAACTGAGACAGAAACAGCCAGATTGGTTACAGATCAGCACCAATAAACCATTTCTAAATGCTGGGCTGAATTAAAAATGAGAGATTAACCAATAATCACTAGTTAAAAAATCATATGTAGATGAAAATATATAAAAGTTTAACCATCTTAAGCCAAATAAATATGACTAATTTTTCTTTGACACCTGGCTAAACTGAAATGTCTATTTTTAACATTAATTTATATAACCAATTTAGCAGAAGAAAAATTTTAAAAGGATTTATGATTTTGCTCTATGCTAAAAGCATTAGTATCAGAATATATCAGATTTTATCAGTTAGGGATCTAATCATGATCCTCCTAAACAAGAAAAAAAATTAATTTAATATATTTGATAGGGCTTGATTGAAATTGAACCTTTTTTTTAACCATTTTCTATCTGTATATAACAAATACATCTGGAGACAGCAATGAAGAAGAACATTTTGTGTGTGTTTTGTTTTGTTTTGTTTTTTTGAGATGAAGTCTCCCTCTGTCACCCAGGCTGCAGTGCAGTGGCGCCATCTCAGCTCACTGCAAGCTCCGCCTCCCGGGTTCTGGGATCACAGGCGCCCGCCACCACGCCCGGCTAATTTTTTGTATTTTTAGGAGAGATGGGATTTCACCGTGTTAGCCAGGATGGTATCAATCTCCTGATCTCGTGATCCGCCCGCCTCGGCCTCCCAAAGTGCTGGGATTACAGGCGTGAGCCACTGCGCCCAGCCAAGGAAAACATTTTGAATCTTGACTTTTGTGACTTGTCCAAAACATTCTTCTACAGAAGCTTTTTGCCCACTGTTTGGGGCAGAGTTCACACTTGTTCATATTCCATGTGCTTTTCCTTCTGCCACTTGAGGGCAATGAACCTATAATGTACAAATCCAAGTCTATCTCTTAATATTTTCTCCAAATTAGTTATTTGGGGTGGCTTGTTATTTTCCAACCTACATACAACAAGGAATTTTTTTAAAACCAAAAAAAACCTCAAAACTGTCTCTACAGCTTACAAGAAAGGAACTGCCAATCATAGTAAGTTTCCACAAATAACTTTTTCACACTGACAACAAAGTTGGAAGTAAAAGTCAAACAAAACACTAAAAATACTCTCTTTTTTAAATTACACAGCTGTTGTAACAAATACTCACCTGTACCCCCTAAACATGTGAAGTATTATATATCAATAAAAAAAGCAACATGAAAATAAATTATACAGCCATTATCTCTAAAACTGATAATCCTGTAAATGCCAAAATAGGGACACATTACTTCTCTTAGTTAAAGCAAAGCACTTAGTTCAGTTTCTTAAGTATAAATAAGGAAAATGCCCTCATGTGATCCTATACACGGAAATTAATACTATTCCCTTCTAAAGCATGCCAGGACCTGGAGGTTTTCCATCTCTCAAAGTGCAATATAGGTTATCTCAAATTCTAGAAAGCAAAGCAATTTTATTAGCCAACAAAGCCAAACCTTTTAGAGCCACAGCCCATTAAAGTAATCTGAAAAGTTCTCAAGAGCCTGATAGGCAGTACAGATTCACTCAAAAAATTCAGCATAAGCAAGTCATCAGCAAGAAAAAGAAAAAAAAATCATTAATAAAAGATAAAGTTAAAGGCAGTCACATTTGCTACATTTAGCTTCTGTTGGTATTCTGGTGGTATAAAGTTTAAGGGAAAAAAACCATTTTAGTTTTAAAATCATTATTTAAGTAAAATCAATACAAACAATGTGTAGTTTAGATTTCCTTCATTAAATGCTCACTTCTCATATCCTTTTCATGGAAAAGAAGAAAAATTGTCACCAATCTTACCCTTTCCTTGTCTACGACAATGAACAGCTCCACATACCGGGTCTGTGGCAAGACAGCTCTTCTTCTCTGTCAAAAACACAAACATCATAAAGGCAAAAGGAAGTTATAAGGCTATGATCACATCCTAATCTCTCATCACTTATTTCATGTCTGCTAAGAACATCATAAAATTATTTTACTTAACATATCCTATATCAAGAAAGTGAAAAATATGTTTTTTGAAGTGTTATCTGCTTCTTAGTGATGAAAACTTTGTCCAGTTCTGCTAATGACTTTAAGTGATGATAAACTATGTCTGAGGGGAAAAAAATGTTTTTGAAGTGTTATCTGCTATCTGCACTAATATGAGAAAAATGTTAGTTACAGATAAAATGGGTTTAAGTTTACAAAGCAGAATTACCAATTTTCTAAAATCAAAACTACACACACACACACATGCAAACACACACATATTTTAATGAAAAAGCCCATTACTATGCTGAGAGATAAAGAAAACATATCCACTAATATCCCAGAGCAGAAGTTAGAATAAGGTTGCCATTTTAAAAAATGACTAGTTTTGTCATTTTACAGAAATTCATGCGAAGTAGAATAAGCAAAAATTTTAATGTTTTCCAATGTTTAAAGTTAAAAAGAATAGCCCAAGTCAAAAGAGTGGATAGCAGCAGAGGCAATAAAAATAATGCCATAAACTAGTATAACTTAATTAAAAATATGCCTCTTTCAAGGCAGCAACAGAATCTCATATGTAGAAAGGTACAATCCCTGCAGCTGAAGTTGATCTAGTCCTAGAACCATTTCAGTCTAAGAGACACCCATGTCAAGAGTAAATCATGAAGTGCTATAGCAGTCTCCAAAGAGGGACTCAGACATAGTTTATCATCACTTAAAGTCATTAGCAGAGTGTCCTTGAAACACATCTGAAGTCATTAAGTTCCTAAAGCCGTATCTCTCTCTTTTTCCAATCTAGGGTTCAAGAATCACCATTTGAGTTGTCTAAGAGGTACCTAAATAAAAACTCTATTGCACTGGGTGCAGTGGCTTATGCCTATAATCCCAGCACTTTGGGAAGCTGAGGCAGGAGGATTGCTTGATACCAGGGGTTCAAGACCAGCCTGGGTAATGTAATGAGACCTCATCTCTACAAAAAGTTGTTTTAAATTAGCCAGGCACGGTGGGTGGCACAGACCTGTAGCAGTAGCTACTGGGATGCTGAGGCAGGAGGATTGCTTGAGCTCAAGAGGTCAAGGCCACAGTGAACATTGTTGCAGATTTAAGTCCTAGTTTCCAAAACCCACAGGATCTAAACTGTACTCAACTTGGTAGCAGGAACTATATATCGCTCATCTTTTCATCCCCTAGTACCTATCACAATGTCTGGCATATATTTGGCAAAATTAAGAAAAGAAAAAAAAACACTACTCATAGTATTGATTTCATGAATAAATACATGATTTTTCTAAAATGGTAGTCTGAGCCATGAAGAATTATGTTATTTCCTTACTCGAAGTAGCTGAGTCATGCTGGGAGGCTCTTCCTCTTCATCCTTTGCAGTTTCTTTCTCTATATCCTTGTTGGAAACTCCACATTTCAGAGGCTCTTTGTAGACATCATCCATTCGATAAATGATGTGCTCAAAATGAGAGCTGTTCTGCAGGGGTTCAATCCCATAACTCGCATTCTCTAAATGCAGCAATCCTCTGAATGTTGCATTACACGTATACAAATTTTAAGAAAAAGAAAATACACAAGGAATCAGAAAACCTAAGTTCAAGTCCTAATTCTTAAATGTGTAAGTAGGCATAGCATTACATAGAGAAGAAAATAGAGGCTTTAGAATCAGACAGATAGGGCTGGGACGGACCTAAATTGAAAGCTCAAATAGCTACTTAGCAGCGTCACTGCCTGTAAGTCACTTAACCTCCCTGAGTGATCTACGGGAAATGGAAGGCACTACAAAATAGTGGCTAAGAATGTGGCATCCGGACCAGAGGACAAGAGTCTGAATTCCAAATGTCTTCTACTAGCTGCAGGACTCTCAGCGAGGTATTTAACCTCTGCCTTGGTTTGCACTCTGCACAGGATTGTTCTGAAAACAAAATTACTTAATAAGCAGAAAACACACGGAACATATTGCCTGGCACACAGTAACTACCAAATAAGTGTTAGTGCCTAAGTGAATATAATCATATTCATCTTATATAGAACTAATATGTTTTAGTTCAAGCAATCATGCAGTCAACCAACCAGCACAGTGCCATGTTGCCATGACCTCAAGGAATGTAATGTTAATACTATAATAACTTAATTTGAATTGTAATATAATTTATCTGAACTTCAGTTTGCTCACCTAAATACAGAGATAATGAGCTCTTATTCACAGTCATAATAAGACTTAAATACAAGTCTTAAATAATACAAGTGAAAATTTTATAAATATAAAGTGCTACAGAAATTTAAAGTATATTTCATTTTAAATAGCAAAAATGATTTAGTGGTCTCAAAAAAAATTTCCTCTTTACATATTAAAACTCATCAACTATAATACTTTCTTAAATAAACATGCCAAGGATATCTGAAACACAGCTGTAAAAATGTTCAGTAACATCAAAGTAAATTCCAATTTTGCTAAGTGCCCAAAATGATTTAATTTGGAGACAGAAACAGGAAAGAGGGTAAGACATAGGGGAAACAAAAAAAAAGAAGATAAAGGAAATTGCTTACCTGAGTCCAAAACAGTCGCTAAGAGCAATGGATGAATTATGAACTCCCTCCACATAGCCCCGATAATGACAATGATTCTAAATGAAAAATACTGTATTATCTTCAAATATTGCTACATTGCTGAAAATCATCACAGAAATTGCAGAGCTAACAAAATTACTTTAGGCCAGTCAAGTTTAATAATAACAAAGTTTTATTTATATTATTGGCATCTCACAGTATCACATGGCATTCTTTAGACCATCTGCGGACTATCTCCTACCACCCTATGAGTACACAAATGTTTAGGCAAAATTCCAGGGGATACAAGGTACAAACAGCTCTGCCTCAGTGACCTTTCAGCCTAGAAGCAGAACAAGATGCATTATATCATCTTTAACATTTTAAATCACAGTCAATCCAACAACCAACAAAAGCCAGTTGACATCTCACTAAAACTGTGTTTGTGTAAAATGACCCTGTGGAAGACACTAATGATACTTTATAAACTTTAATCTGAAGCAATAGAATCCCCAGGGGAAAGTATGTAAATTTTTCAGTGAAACTTAATTTCATTTTATGGACAAAAGTATATGTCATTATAATACATGACAGTCTGGCCATGTTAAAAAAATCACAGTATCCAAGTTTTATTTTGTATTTCAAATCTACAATCACACTTTCATCTAACTGAACAATATTAAATAACCAAGAAATAAGTGAGACACCATCTGTCTTAGTTGACATTTTTCAAACACCCAGAAAAGCATAACTCTATCATACTTATGATACTTAAGTATTATATAAGATAATAGTTACATAAGTTTCTATATAATTAAATCAATTTTTGGCAGTTTTAAGAACATACGCTGTCAATAATAGCAACAAATAATAACATTCGTTGAGTTAAAAATTGTCAGACTGTTCTAAGCATCTTGTAAGTATTAACTCAGTTAAGTTTCCCAGTATATCCATAAAGTGGTAACTATTATTACATTTTAAAGCGAAGATACCAAGGCACAAACAGATTAAAGTAGCTTCATCAGCAAATAATGAGTCAAAACTCAAGCCCAAACAGTGTATGTCTGAAGAAAGTATGCCAAGAAACCTCTATGAGGAAAAAAATGCCTTTTAACATTACTGCTTTTGTCAAGTGACACAAATTATGTGGTGTTTGGCCTTCTGCCTTGGTAATCATTGGATGCATGACTGGATGAATGCGTTATTTTCTATCTGGTTTATGCTGTAAGGTAAATTCAAACTCCTCTACTAATTTTCTATTAAACAATGGACCAACAACACACTAAGATAAAGAAATCAGATAGTGGACCAGAAGATAGGCCTAAGTCAGCATTTCCTTGGTTTTTGTAAGTACTAATAATTAATCTAAAGATTTTTTTGCCTCCTATTTGAAGAATGCTGCAAAAGTGCGCTACCAACAGAAACAATTCAACATAGCAAAGTATTACAAAGTTCAGAAGAAAAATAAAACATACACATGTAATGGGAATAAAGATTTCTCATGAAAACCATTGCAAAAGAAAAAAAGGTATAATACCTAACTGCCAAAAAGGACTGTAAAACACTCAAACAAAACTAGAAATGTTTATGCTCTAGTAATAAACACAGAAAGCCAAATTTGACATCTGCCAATTATTTTGGGTATTCTGGCCAGCTCTGTCCCCAGGAGTACTCTGTTCTCTGATGCAGAGAGGACCACACCTCTTTTAGGAAACAATTATTTTCAGAAAAAATTTAGAACATTAGAACACATAACATCAAATGAGTGTTTTTCTTTACTAAATATCACTGACAAATTAAATGTTTTAATAAGTGCACTTTTAGAGATATTAACTTTCAACAAAAAAATCAGAAACTCCTATTTTCAAAACATATCAAATTTTCTCATCAGTAAGGATTACCATTAAATAGAAGATTTATTTTCCTAGTCTTTAAAAAAAAAACCTTAACTACTGAGTACCTGGAGAGCTGTAAGGTACAGCTTAGTCTATAGAAATGCACCCACTTTTCCCAAGATAACCCATATGTTATAATGTTAAAGGTACCCTGTGGGGCTGTGCAATGTAACAGTCCTGAGTGCCTATACAGAACTCATTTTTAAATTATAATTGTTTTAAAATTTGCTATGGGATCAAGAGAAAAATACATTACCTGTATATTGGGATGGTCAGTGATTAAAGTCCCTTCCTTGTTGTAAGTATAAACCACAAAATCTTCAGGCAAAAGGTCTCTGGAAGAGAAATAAAACACCGTTTATATATATGTTATCTATCTACAACTAAGGACACGATTCATAAGGCATTATTCCTAGAGGAGACAAGCAGGAGTAAATAAGAACTTTCACCAGATAAATTATTTTTAAATGTGCTATTGTAAAATTAAAAGCTCATAACAGCTGGGTGCAGTGGCTCACACTTGTAACCCCAACATTTTGGAAGGCTGAGGTAGGAGGATCACTTGAGGCCAGGAGTTTGAGACCAGCCTAAGCAACACGGTGAGACCCTGTCACTACAAAAAATAAAAAATTAGCTGGGCATAGTGGCACACACATATAGTCCCAGCTACTCAGGAAGCTAAGGTGGGAGGATTGCTTAAGCCCAGGAGTTCAAGGCTGCAGTGAGCTATGATCATGCCTCTGCACTCCACCCTGGATAACAGAGTAAGACCTTGTCTCTTAAAAAAAAAAAAAGGAGAAAAAAAAAAAGCTCATAAACGGACAACTCTGAAATAGTGTACATTACTTATTCATAAATAATATTTAATATTAAGCTACACATTTTGTAATGGTCTTAAAATGCTAGTTCCAAAAAATTTAAGACAACATAAATAATGTCCCTAAATTTTTCAGATATGGCTCACAGGAAAAGTAAAAACTGGGTTATTGACAGTATATCATATTTACATTAGAAAAATAAATGGTTTTTTACACTCTTTTCTTAAAGTTCTATATAAATAAGAATTAACCTCCTAAGTATGGAGGCAAATTTCTGTCTCAATTGTTGAAAGAAACAATTATTCCTGATTTCCAAATCTTCACTCCATGTTAAGGAGGTTCAGTGGCATCAAGCATGTTTATGAGGATCACGTTCTCTTGCAGCAGGACTGGAGCAGCTGTATGCTTATTTCCAGGCCTTATGGACAAGTCAGAGATGTAATGTGCTAACTAGTGATTCATAAATATGCCCTTTCAAGTTCAAAACTCCCCTGGAGGCACCCGGGACCAGCCTGTCTATATATTTTTTTATTATTATTATCCTTTAAGTTCTAGGGTACATGTGTACAACGTGCAGGTTTGTTACATATGTATACATGTGCCAAGTTGGTGTGCTGCACCCATTAACTCATCATTTACATTAGGTATATCTCCTAATGCTATCCCTCCCCACTCCCCCTACCCCACGACAGGCCCTGGTGTGTGATGTTCCCCTTCCTGTGTCCAAGTGTTCTCATTGTTCAATTCCCACCTATGAGTGAGAACATGTGGTGTTTGGTTTTTTGTCCTTGCAATAGTTTGCTGAGAATGATGGTTTCCAGCTTCATCCATGTCCCTACAAAGGACATGAACTCATCCTTTTTTATGGCTGCATAGTATTCCATGGTGTCTATGTGCCACATTTTCTTAATCCAGTCTGTCATTGTTGGACATTTGGGTTGGTTCCAAGTCTTTGCTATTGTGAATAGTGCCGCAATAAACATATGTGTGCATGTGTCTTTATAGCAGCATGATTTATAATCTATTGGGTATATACCCAGTAATGGGATGGCTGGGTCAAATGGTATTTCTAGTTCTAGATCCTTGAGGAATCGCCATACTGTCTTCCACAATGGTTGACAGCCTGTCTATATTGACTAGAGATGAATAAATGGAAGGTTTTTGTCCGATTTAGTTAGGTACACAGCCTGACTTTAGCTACATGATCAGCAAAGTAGGAAAGATACCTTCAGTAAACTTGTGCCTGGGCTCCCCAGAAAATATGATGCCTCACACATATCTCAGCGGTTCATAATCTGGAGGCAAAGCACATCTGTGCAACTGAGAAAGGACTCTGGGGGTCATGCCTTGATGACTGCCTGCACTTTCTTTGTCCTGATGCATTATATCCTTTACCTTTATTAAAGTCTATGTGAGTAGGCATAGAAGTAGCCTGTGGAACCTTAGTCTTTCCAGTAATTGGACCCTATTCAGTCACTGCAGGCTCCCCTTCTCCCCAACTCCCCCACATATGTGTAGCCTTTGCTCCCTTAGTGATGCATTTGAAAAGAATAAACTGGAGGTACTTGGTTCCAGTCTCTGCCTTCTTTCCTGTTTAGAAGTCACTGCCTGCCCAGCCAGCTGCCACTGTGCAGCACCAATATGAAGAGCTAAATCTGCTTAATCCCAGGGTTCAGGATCCACTAAACCATATCAAACTAGAAAGAAAACCAATATACTATTGGAAAAACATTACTGAAAAGCCAAAATAAATTAAATGTCTTACTTGTTCCTTTCCAAGTGAATAATATGCTCTTTTCCTTCAGCCTGAATAACATAAGATACCTAAATGCACAGAAGGGGAAAAGAATAAAACATCATCTTAAAAATTACTTTTCAACAACATCTCATTTATAAGATGCAGGAAATTCCATCCTGAATTAAAATAATTTGGTATTGGCTGAACTATTTAATAGAAGAACTTTGTGTCTATTCTTAAATAATAAAAAATATACTCTGATCATCCCTTCCTTCCTTTCATAACTGATCATGGAAAATAACCCCATGTCTATCTAACTCTTCTTAAATTCATTTCTAATTCAGCTATAACTGCAGGGATTATCTTCTCAAGTCCATCGATGTATTACCTACAGTACAAAGATAGTTCCTGCTTTTGTCTAAATGAAATGAAACTCTTGGTTTCAAGAAATTATACCTAGTTCTACTTATATAAAGTTAAAAAGAAATTCAACTCCTTTTATGATACAAATTACAGGGCTTACCTCATTTTATCAATTCTAAAACATGCTTTTTTCCCTCACATTAACGTCCTTGAAATGAGGATGCATCATACAAAGGCAAAGCAGTCTAGACTAACTAGCAGCACCTCTGTCTTTTTTTTTTTTTTTTTGAGATGGAGTCTCACTCTGTCACCTAGTCTGGAATGCAGTGGCACAATCTCGGCTCACTGCAACCTCTGCCTCCCGGGTTCAGGAAATTCTCCTGTCTCAGCCTCCCAAGTAACTGGGATTACAGGCGTCCACCAACACACCCGGCTAATTTTTGCATTTTTAGTAGAGACGGGGTTTCACCACATTGGTAAGGCTGGTCTTGAACTCCTGACCTGAGGTGATCCACCCAGCTTCCCAAAATGCTGGGATTACAGGCATAAACCACCCTGCTGGGCCACTTCCGTGTCTTTATTAGTGGTACATAAAACAATATGGTGTGTCTCACAATTGATGGCATCTTAGAGTCAAGGAATTAAAGTAACATATATACACATCCTCCAATTCATGGGATCATCTTCTCTACCTCAGGCAACTCTGAAACAACTTCCCCAGCAATTCACCATGTCATTAGCCACAAGTGCTTAACGTGATCTCTGGAACTAAGAGATGTGACTTCGCCTTAACTCTTTAATAAAAAAGAAAGTCATGGAGGGACTCGACAACTAACATTATCAGAAGTGTCTACTTAATATTCCCTTCCGTTTCCAGACTCAGTTAACCTTTTGTCAAGAAACAGCATCAACCCCTTCACCACGGCACATCTGCCTCTGACTTCTAAGCGCTAGACCAACCTATGGATCCTGTCATCCACCTCCACATCCTGCATGGGAATCCAAGAACCCTTCATCATCTACCTCAGTCTCCAGTGGGCCAGCAAAACCACCAAGCTCTTTCTATTGCCACAGCTTTGTCATGTGCCTTTCTACTCATTCTGCTCTTAGATAATCACGTGATGTAATAACATCACTGCTATGTCTACTAAAAAGAAATCTGAGAAACTGAAGATTGTTTTGTGATAGTTTACTCCTCCCCCAAGTATCTGCCTGGATTGTTCACCCCCCTCCTTCTAGTCTTTACTAAAGGGCTACCTTCTCGTAAGGCTTTCCCTGGCCATCCTACTGAAAAATGCAATCCTCTCCCCAGCAACTCACCATTTCCAGCCTCCCTATCCCCCTTCTTGCTTTAATTTTCTCCATAGCACTTATCACCATCTGAAGTAATATACATTTTTGGTTTGGGGGGGGGGGTTTGTTTTTGTTGTTGTTGTTTTTGTTTTTGTCTCTCTCTCTCTCTCTCTCTCCCTGCCCCCCCCCCCCATCACTAGAATGCAAGCTCCATAGAATACAAGACTGCATTCATGCAAGGGCATAAATTTTTGTCTGTTTTGTTCACTGCCGTATCCCCAATACCTAAATGGTGCCTAGCATACAATAGTAACTCAATAAATACTTTTTAACGAGTTAATTACATTCACTGTTGAATGAGCAAAATCCAGTTCAATATGCACTGACTATATCACTTCTCCAAATATTAACCAAAGCATAAAAATGACAATTATCTATGACGATCCCAAGTATTAATGAGGGAAGTACTAAATGAAGATACTATCAGAGACACAAAAAAGGAGAAAACATGGTCCCTAGGCTGAAAGTCTACCATTGACTGTAGAAAAGGAGGAAAACAGGTGGCTCATGCCTGTAATCCCAGCACTCTGGGAGGCTGAAGCAGGTGGATCACTTGAAGCCAAGAGTTCGAGACCAGCCTGGCCAACATGGCAAAACCCCATCTCAACTAAAGATACGAAATTAGCTGGGTATAGTGGCACATGCCTGTAGTCCCAGCTACTCAGGAGGCAGAGGCACGAGAATCACTTGAACCCAGGAGGCGGAGGCTGCAGTGAGCCAAGATCGCACCCAAACAGGGATTAACTGATTAACTCTATCCTAAGACAAAACATAATCAAATGGTAGTCTGCCCAGTTCAAACCAAAAACAAGTAAAATGTATAAATTCATCTACAGAGGAGATCTTAGAGTCATTTACTCCTCAGTTGGAGAGATGTAAATGGAGTTGAGTGACCAACCCAACTAGTAGGTGGTGGTACTCACAGGGAGGACCAAAACTAAAAGTTCCTGATCCTCAACTCCAGTGTTCTTTTTACAATGCCCACTCCCTAAAAAACAGGCACGCTGCCTTACATTTCTGAGTGTATCAGCAATTCAGATATTAATACAATTCATAAGCTAAATTCTATGCATTATTACCTGTCATTGTTAAATTATAATAAAATTTAATTATACTTCTATAAAGTTGAAGGACTTATAAAATTAAAGTCCAAATAAGATTACTTCTGAACAAACTTTACAAAAGAATAGTAGAAAAAATAATTTTTGTGCACTGGTTACCCCATTTACAGCACAGTAGGTTTCTTCCAATATGAAAATAAAACTTGTATTTTAGTAAATATTCCCTAATATAAAATATACGCATTTAACACATTATCACTCTCCACCGTCAGTGAAGATATAGTATAAAGTGTTCTAGCTATCACAAACTGAGTGAGGTTATATAATTATAGTAAGAATTATAATTCTTATTATAATAAAATCACTGTGACCATTGCCTGTCAGTTAAAATGTATATAATCAGCAGCCTACCCTAGTGATACAATTTTGTTTAACTATTCTATTCTGTTATGTTTCGAGTTGATCATATTGTCTTTAAAAAAGAAAAGATACTGGCTGGGCGTGGTGGCTCACACCTGTAATCCCAGCACTTTGCAAGGCCGAGGCAGGCGAATGACCTGAGGTCAGGACTTCAAGATCAGCCTGGCCAACATGGTGAAACCCTGTCTCTACTGAAAAATACCAAAAAATTAGCCAGACATGGTGGCACATGCCTGTAGTCCCAGCTACTCAGAAGGCTGAGGCAGGAGAATCACTTGAACCCAGAAGGTGGAGGTTGCAGTGAGCCGAGATCACACCACTGCACACTCCAGCCTGGGCGACAGAGCAAGACTCCATTTTAAAAAAAAAAAAAGGATATTAAGGCTCAATATGTTGCTTTTACTAGCATAACATCCAGGGGACATCAGTACCATATGGTGCTATTCTAAGTAACAGCCAAGTAATAACTCACTGAACTGATCACTGCTACAAATAACACCTTTGTGCTAAAACAGAAAAGAAAAAAATTAACCACATATTATTTCTCAACAATTATAACTTACTTGTTTTGAATAGGGCCTAGGGGCTTCTCTTCTTTCTCTAGTTAATCTCCAAGGAGTTATAATTTCATAAGAAGAAAGATGTGAGGTCTGTTGAAAGCCTACAGAAAAGGCAAAAACAAATATAATAAGTGAAACTGAAAAACTACGTGGGAACACAATATAATGAAAAATCAAAATGTTCAAATCACAGAAAAATCACCTGACATTCCCATATTACAATATGCATATAATAAAAGTACTCATATAAAGTTGTATTAATACATGAAAATAGCAATGCATTAGGTAAGTATGAGGGAGGAAAATGTATTTTCTTAAAAAAGAATATCAGTCTTTATCCAAACATTATAAATATACATAGCAATCATTTCAAACATTTTTAGCTATAAACCCTAACCCTTTTTTCTCAAAAGAAATCTTAAGGTATAAACACAAGAAGAAAGAAAAGAACTGGTTTGGTGGGGAAATGGGGGAAAGGCATCCTAGAGTCTAGCACCCTTCACTCATCTCCCATTCCTCCCCCTCACCCAGCATGAATAACATCCTCTCAGATGATACTACTAAATACTTACTGCTACAGTTTGTATGTTTGACTTCTCCAAATCTCACGCTGAAATTTAACCCCCAGTGTGCCAGTGTTGGGAGGTGGGGTGTAGTAACAGGTGTTGGGGTCATTGAAGTGGATCCCTCATGAACAGAGTAATGCCATCCCTGAGGGGCCAGGGTAGGAGAAAGAGTTCTTGTTCTATTAGTTCCCTCAAGAGCTGGTTGTTAAAAAGAGCCTCTCTCCCCCATCTCTCTTGCTTCCTCTTGCCTTATGACCTCTGTACCCGCCAGCTCCGCTTCCCCTTCTGCCATGAATGGAAGCAGCCTAAAGCCCTCACCAGAAGCAGATGCCTGTGCCATGCTTCCTGTACAGCCTGCAGTGAATCAAATAAACCTCTTTTCTTTATAAATTACCCAGTCTCAGGTACTCCTTTATAGCAACACAGACTAAGACACTTATTAAATGGACAAGGACTGTAAGAGGGAAAAGGTACTTTTAATATCTGATGGGTTAACTCTGACAAATACATACTCAACAATGTAGCCACGCTTTCAAATTATAGCCATTAATCCATCACAAAAACACAAATTTTAAGCAAAATTTCTTAACAGTTAAGAGCTCTGAAAGTCATGCAGACTAACTCCCATTTCCAATTCTGTTCAGTCTATCCGCATGGAATCATGATGTCTTAAGCAGGGCTTGGGTTCTAAAGTCATCACTTGAATTGAAATTGAGTATAATCAAAATTGCCAACACAAATCTCTTAGGAAGACACACCATGTGGGAGTCCAATACATAGTCTCTCGATAAGTCCAACACAACCTCTTTTTCTTCCAGCATTATTACCAATGGCTTAACCCTTACTAACCTCACCTCTAGATGACTATGATACCTTTTTACCTGGTCTCCCTACTCTCATACTCTCCTCCTTTGATCCAATCTATATGTTCATTCACTCATGAGTTTCCTAATACCCCTCAGATTTCTCAAATATAGATTAAGATGAATTATTTACATCTAACTTTTTCCAAGATAACATTGTATATAAAATGTTTATAATTTTGTCTGGTTTGGGATTAAAAAGATACAAACAGCTGCAAACAAGAAACCATAAATTATATCATATCCAATGTACTGCATGTATAAACAGCTTTTAAACTCTTTACCCATCAATCCCTTATATTTCTGTAAGAATCTGTTTTCTTTTGCACAGGACACAACTGGAGAAACTGGTTATTTTACCAAGTTTTGACTGGAATGTTGTGCTTTCCTTTAAGGAATCAAACTTGATTTATAGAACCGATAAAAGCCCCTTGAGAAAACTGGCCACATACCTTGTCTACACAGTCCCTGTACGAGGTTCCTGATCTGTTGTAAATAAAGACTGTCACTATCTACAGTCCCAGGTGTGTCAAGTTATCTTGGGACCTCAAGAGGAGAGGAATTTACCCAACTCATACCTGTATTTAACTGTGCAAACCCATGGCTGAGCTCTGCTTTAAAAAACATCTCAGGTGAGATTCCTTATGGAACAAAGTTCCATCAAAGCCAATTAAAAAGTGCCTATGTGGCAAATAATTATTCTTACTGCAATTATTTCAAACAATCAGGCCAAGCATAATAAGACTAAAGCTTATTTTGCTACCCATCATATCCTATCAGTCCTATCATGATTTGTTTTTAATGAAAATGGAGGACAGGAAAGGGAAAAATTACGTTTCAAGAACTATAGTACACCTGACATTAAATTCTAGTCTCATCAGTTGTTTCTGAGTTTTTCCCTGCAATTTGGACTGACTCTGCTTATTTCAGTGAACCAATCAGTGATCTCTAACTGCAGCTCAGAATAAACAAGAGGGATGGCTAATGTTAACATCTGGATCAGTATTCTAATTCTGGGCATATATTGGAATCAGTTAGTGACCCTATATCAGCTGGGTTCCAACAATTGCCCAGTTCATGGAACAGCTTTCTATTTAGTTTACTTGGAATAATTTTACTTATTTGCTATACTGTCATGAAATATATTGCTATTGTAATCTTTGTGTAGGAATGCAGGATAAGCTTACTGAATGTTTTCTTAAATTGAACACTTATTAATTATTAATCTTACTAATCTTCTAGATATCACCTTTTGTGTTGTGAACTCAACAGAACTCAGAGTTGTGAATGGCCCTCAGCATAATGACGTTGTGTGACTGAGCTCCTCTCTACCCCGGATACAAGATACCCTATAGTTAGGCAGGAACATGATTGCCCCTATTCAGCCTGAAGAAGTCACAGAAGATAGATCTTTGTCCCTCTACAATCTTTAGGATTAAGGTTCCCATGTAAAAGGATGAGGGAAAATATGTCAGCAGCACTCAGACCAGACTGACTCCAACTTGAATAGAGGCTGGATAAAATAAGGCTGAGACCTACTGGGCTGCATTCCCAGAAGGTTAGGCATTCTTAGTCACAGAATGAGATAGGAGGTCAGTACAAGATACAAGTCACAGAGACTTTGCTGATAAAACAGTTTGCGGTAAAGAAGCCAGCTAAAACCCACCAAAACCAAGACTGCGAGGAAAGTGACCTCTGGTCGTCCTCACTGCTCATTATATGCTAATTATAATACATTAGCATGCTAAAAGACACTCCCACCAGCACCATGACAGTTTACAAATGCCATGGCAATGCCCAGAAGTTACCTTATATGGTCTAAAAATCCTTGCCCCTTTCCCAGAAAACTCATGAATAATCCACCCCTTGTTTGGCATATAACCAAGAAGCAACTATCAGTATACTCAGCTGAGCAGCCCGTGCCACTGTTCTGCTCGTGGAGTAGCCATTCTTTTATTCCTTTACTTTCTTAATAAACATGCTTTCACTTTTTAAAAAAAAATTCTCTTTAAGTAAATCATTACAGACAAGATTACATATGCTGGCCAGGCATGGTAGCTCAACCCTGTAATCCTAGCACTTTGGGAGGCCAAGGCAGGAGGATCACTTGAGCCCAAGAGCTCAAGACCAGCCTGAGCAACAGAGCAAGACCCTGTCTCTTCAAAAAAATTTAAA
The DNA here is from genome assembly GCF_000001405.40 of Homo sapiens. Taxonomy (NCBI): domain Eukaryota; kingdom Metazoa; phylum Chordata; class Mammalia; order Primates; family Hominidae; genus Homo; species Homo sapiens. Next base: position 39,004,382 of record NC_000008.11, on the reverse strand, counting down.
AATTAGTGGGGCATGGTGGCACATGCCTGTGGTCCCAGCTACTCAGGAGGCTAAAGTGGAAGGATCACCTGAGCCTGGGAGATCAAGGCTGCAGTGAGCCATGATTATGCAACTGCACTCCAGCCTGAGCAACAGAGGGAGACCCTGCCAAAAAAAAAAAATAAAGAATACATATGCTGATAGACACAGACAACTGTTACACTAGAAGCTAAACAATATAGAACCAAACTGAAGTTTTTTCGTTACAACTCAGAACCAAACATAACAGAGAAAAAGAAATGCCTCCAAAAATAAAGCATCTGTAGTTCTTATGGGCAGGCAGGTATTTAAAGAGCTTTCATTTTGAAACAGGTTCAGTTACTTTATAGGCAAAGTTAGTTTACTTTACTTATAGTTTCAGGCCAAAACTAGAAACCAAGTCTTCTGTCTTCTATGAATCTTTTACCGAGACTGCCAATGAAGTAAAATAAAAGCTAAATATAGGAAGATTATACGTAACTTTTTTTCCTTCTTTTCCATTTTAAACACAATTCTCATTTGAAAAGCAAAATGCCGTAACTAATCACTTATTTTTAAAAGACTTTCAAAATTATAGCACCCTGAAATAATTTCTGTGTGTAAGGGCTGTTATTCTGATATTGACATCTTGCTTCTAAAATCCAAGCAACCACTTTCTGAATTAAAGCCATGCCATAAAAAGTTCCAAAACATCATAACAAATGCACATACTGGGGGAATGTCATCAAAATAATACATACTAATTGTATGAAAATCCTCCTTCCCATGTTTTTTTCCCAAAATTCCTTTCTTATCTCTAGGTCAGGTTTTTTTCTTTTTTCCTGTTCATATCCTGCATAGATTTTCCCCAAATTCCCTTTAGTTGTTTTTTTTTTTTTTAAATTCCAAATAGTAGCAGTTTCTCATGGGAACCAAAATAACATTTTTCCACATTAATATAAAAAAAGAGCTTTAATATTATTTGTATAAACCTTCAACCTGTAAGGGCGCTGTCCTGTGTACTGTGGAATGTTTTGCAGCATCCCTGGCCTCCACCCACTAGATGCCAACAGCATCCCCCAGTTGTGACAGCTAAAAGTTTCAGGCCAAGACTAGAAACCAAGTCTTCTGTCTTCTATGAATTTTTTACCCAGACTGCCAATGAAGTAAAATAAAAGCTAAATATAGGAAGATTACATATAACTTTCTTTCCCTCTTTTGCATTTTAAACACAATTCTCATTTTGAAAACCAAAATGCCACAATTAATCATTTATTTTATCAAGAGTCTGAGACCAGCCTGGCCAACATGGTGAAACCCTGCCTCTACAAAACATGCAAAATTAGCCAGGCCTGGTGGCGCTCTCCTGTTGTCCCAGCTACTCGGGAGGCTGAGGCACGAGACCACTTGAGCCAGGATGGGGAGGTTGCAGTGAGCTGAGAACCACTTTAGCCCAGGAGGGGGAGGTTGCAGTGAGCTGAGATTGCACCACTGCACTCCAGCCTGGGCAACCTCCGAGGGAGACTCCGTCTAAAAAAAAAGAAAAAGAGAAAACGGCCTGAAGAGAAAACGTGAACCACTGAAACATGAAACTTAACATGTCTAATCTTAAAGAAAGGAAAAGGTGTTAGTTGCACTTCTTTCTTTCTCTAACTCCGTAGATCTTTCTATACACTGTAGTGTGTTTTAGAGGAAGTCTGAGCACACTTTTCATAATAGTAATTGTAGTACAGGGAAGTGAGTTAAAAGAGTTCTACCTAATTGTGGCCGGGCACAGTGGCTCAAGCCTATAGTCCCAGCAATTTGGGAGGCCGAGGCAGGCGGATCACGAGGTCAGGAATTCCAGACCAGCCTGGCCAATATGGTGAAACCCCGTCTTTACTAAAAAAAAATACAAAAATTAGCCGGGCGTGGTGGTGCGTGCCTGTAGTCCCAGCTACTCGGGAGGCTGAGGCAGAAGAATCACTTGAACCTGGGAGGTGGAGGTTGCAGTGACCCCAGATTGTGCCACTGCACCCCAGTCTGGGCAACAGAGTGAGACTCTGTCTCAAAAAAAAAAAAAAAAAAAAAAAAGAATTCTACCTAATTGCAAAGCAAACAAATGTGAACTCCAAACCATGGGCTTCTCCTGCCTACTACATAAACAAACAGCCACTTTTAAGTACTTCCACTGTAGAAAATAAAAATAAACCTGGCCTCCACATTCAGGATAAATAAGATAATTCTGTTTCCAAAGTATTTCTTGTAGAGAAATTGTTTCAATTAGATCTACAAAGCACTATTATTTCGAGCCATATAATAGGTTGGTGCAAAAGTAATTGCAGTTTTTGCCTTTTTTTTTTTTTTTTTTTTAATCATTCTAGTATTCGCCAGGTCAATTCCAGATAAATACATACCGTATATTAATAACTACCTTTGGGCTGGGCGTGGTGGCTCATGCCTGTAATCCCAGCACTTTGGGAGGCCGAGGCGGGTGGATCACAAGGTCAGGAGTTCAAGACCAGCCTTGCCAACATGGTGAAACCCTGTCTCTACTAAAAATACAAAATTTAGCCAGGTGTGGTGGCGCACGCGCCTGTAATCCCAGCTACTCAGGAGGCTGAGGCAGAAGGATCGCTTGAACCTGGGAGGCAGAGGTTGCAGTGAGCTGAGATCGAGCCATTGCACTCCAGTCTGGGCAACAGTGTGAGACTCCATCTCAAAAAAAAAAAAAACTACCTTCAAACATACTTAATTATAATTTCTACTGCTAGGTCTACACTCTTACTTTTTTTAGTGTTACACTTTTCTTAAATATTTACCCATCTTTACATTTAAAAAGAAATGGCTTCTGTTGTTTGTTTAAGTGTCCCTTTGGGAAAAACACCACCCATTTCTAAGATTTAATGCCCTAGACAATTTAAGTTCCTCCAGCAAAGAATTTAAGTTCTTTGAGATCAAGGACGGTATCTTATTCATCATGTACTTCCTGCACTGGTACAGTACGTATTCAATAAAATATGTGTTGAATAAATAACCTCTTCTGATGGTTACAGCTAAACAAACATAGTTCTGATAGTTGTAATTATCACATATGACTTAAAGTGAACCTTACTTTTTATGATTAACATCTTTTGTATCAACTTTTCTACAAATCTACATAGCCTACACATTTGTCATTTTGATAGCAAAATCGTATTTCATTGTATTGCTATCCACAGACTGCTTAATCACTTCTCTTAAGTGGCTGGGATGGGAGGTTAGGCCCAAGATATCTTCACAACAGGATTCTCAGCCTTTCAATAAGACTGATTAGAATCAGGCTCTCCTGGGGTCTACTCATATGAAGATTCTACACTACTAGAAGGAAGACGTTAAAATCATCCTAAAATGACTTAAATCATGAAAAATCTCATTAAAAGAACAATTCATCAAAGGGAACGTCCCATTCCCTTTGAGTTCTGCCCTACATTATAACATGTCTGGGGGTGATATCATTTTCTTTTCTTCCAGTAAGGTTTAGTAACACAATACTTACATTACCATAAACATAAATAAATACAAACAGAACTGCATATTTTAAAACGGACCAAGTTAATTTCTAAGGTTCCCTAGCTCACTCTTAAAAGATGTGATTTAAGGCCAGGTGTGGTGGTTCACACCTGTAATCCCAGCACTTTGGGAGGCTGATGCAGGAGGAACACTTGAGCCCAGGAGTTCGAGACCAGCCTGGGCAACAGAGCAAGATTGCCTCTCCACACACAAAAAAAGTTTTTAATTAGCCAAGCATGGTGACACACCCCTGCAGTCCCAGCTACTCAGGAGGCTTAGGCAGGAGGATTGCTTCAGCCCAGGAATTCGAGGTTACAGTGATCTATGACTGTTCCACTGCACTCCAGCCTGGGCAACAGAGCAAGACCCTGTCTCTCAGAAAGAAAAAAAAAAGATGTGACTCAAGCAGTGTCCCACATATGATCACTTAGGGAAAATAATCTGATTAAAATAACAACATGAAATGGAAAATAAACTACAATAATCTCTCAATATACAAACAACATTGTGCTACCCAACTTTAGTTGGGTCCACATTAGACCCATTCAAAGACTGTGAGAGAGGCTGGGGCGCGGTGGCTCATGCCTGTAGTCTCAGCGCTTTGGGAGGCTGAGGTGGGCGGATCACGAGGTCAGGAGGTCGAGACCATCCTGGCTAATACCGTGAAACTCCATCTCTACTAAAAATACAAAAAACTAGCCAGGCATAAGGCTGAGGCAGGAGAATTGCTTGAACTCGGGAGGTGAAGGTTGCAGTGGGCCGAGATCGTGCCACTGCACTCCAGCCTGGGCGACACAGCAAGACTCCATCTCAAAAAAAAAAAGACTGTGAGGGATTAGCTACTGAGATACAAAAGGACTGCATTCATTTATGAGGCAGTTCCATAGCGCTGACTCAAAAGGATGGCATGACTCCAAGCCTCCAGTATATGTTACATACCAAAAAGGAAAAAGAAATATGAGGCTATGTCATATGTTTGAGCTTGCGGATATTCCCAAGAAAAAGCTTCCAGTTACTTAGAGCTTGCATCTTTTGGGGGATTCCATAATAAATTCTATTATAAACCCAGATTTTTTACAAAGAGCAAATATAAATTTGGTAAGTTAAAGCTTCAAGTGCTTTTTGAAAACTGTCTTGGAAACCAGGAACTAGGTTTGTACATATTTTAATTATATATGCTTTCTTTTTTACTTAAAAGGTTGAAAACCAAATCATTCTTAAATGTAAAAGGCTACATTCTCCTATCGGCACAAACACAAACATATCAAATTCAAATATTTTGCTGGCATCTGAAAACGAGATTAGTATGGACCTAAGTTCTTACTACACAAATGATTTTACAGTGACTCACCATGAGTAAGCTTTCAAAGTCATTTTCTTTAGAATGCCAGTCTTTGTTTAAAAAAAAATTCTAAATCTGTTCCTCATAATTACTACCTTAGAAAATCAGAAGAGGTTTCATACCTGATTCCGCTTATTTTTTACAATGACACAGTTACCTTTGTCAGTTTAAAAAAAAAAAAAAAGTTTACTGAAAGTTAGCTGTTTGGAAATTATACTGCATTTCCTCATTGAGACAATGTTATAAAAGGTAGTAAAAATCCTATAAAACCTAATTAACTCCTAATGTAACTGACGTGTGCCTGGTACCTCAAATTCCTCTTTCGATCCTGGAAAATGTTTCAGTGCACGTTTTAAACACCTTATACTGCAAAAATGTGGTCAGCTGATTTTGTATGAACGTTCCCCGAGAGAAACAAGAGTTGACTCACTGCACACTATTACAAAAGCCTCTTAACCGGTGTCCCAGCCTCTAGTCTCTCCCTCCTAGATTCTATCCTCCACCGTGTTGCCCGTTTTCTTAACAGAAAATGAGATTAGGTCGCACCCCTACTTAAAACCTCCACTGCCCAAAGAACTTCCTACGGGGTGAAGTCCAAACCCCTTAGTTCAGCATAGAAGACTCTTCCCAACTGGTAACAACCTACCTTAGTTTGATCTTCCATCCCTCCCTTTTATAGTCTGCATGAAGACATATTGACATTTTTATCATTTCCTAAAAAGTCATGTTCTTTCATACGCCCCCCGCCCCACCATACTCTTGCAAAAACTTTCCTCTGCTTAGAATGTATCTACTATTCTACTTGAAAAATCACCGATGTAGCCCAGTTCAAATATTATTTTCTCTAAAAATCTTCCCCAACATCTCTCAGATGCGCTTAGCATATTTGGTCACCTTCTGCCCCTCTACAATCAACTGTGTGGTGTTTATAGGAGTTCCATAAACGGTGGCTAAACTTTGAAGGGGCATACACATGCCGAAGTGAGGAGCTGGCCAAAACCACAGTTAAAGACCATCAGGATATTCCACTCACCTAATGCAGGTCGGTAATGACTGACAATTTATATTAACATTTAAAAATACAGTCTTATTTACATTTACAAACACAAAAAAAAATCACAGATTAATAAAACTCCGGATGTATAATCGTCTTCACCTTAAACATCGGTGAGTGTTAACCATCTAGAATACCACCGGAAAAGTAGTTTTAACCAGAAGAAATTTGGCAACTTCCCATTCAAAACATTGTCAGAGTTTCAACATTTCCACACTGGGGCAAATTTACTTAATTTCAAATAAAGCAGCCAAAGATAAGAAAAACAAGTAATTAGTTTCCTGAAGGTCAACAGTCCTGCGTTGAAATCTTCTATCATCACCTTTGAATAACTTTCAATCAATGATTTAGTAAAAACTCCCATTCTCCATCATCCTCTGTCGCTGATAGAGAAAATACAGCCATGCAAACAATTATATCATACAAAATCCAAAATAAACAACTTGTTTCCAGAAAGACGCCAGCGTGCTGACAATCTGCTTCCACTATGTTTGGGCATCTCCAATACAAGTATCTTACATAGTCAAGGGCAGTTTCACAATTCAAAAACGATTTCACACAAATGATTTAATTCCTACAATAATCCTGTGAGTTCAAAAGAGCAGGGATTATCTGTCCGGATTTAACACAGTACGAACCCAATAAAAACACAGATTTTTTAAGAATGGTTTGGCTATAGAAAGGTAGCACATCGTTTACAAAATATTCTTACTACAAAAATGACCCAAGAGAAATGAGCGTCCTCCCACCCACCTTTATTCCACCATTAAATTTAGCTGTGTTGACCCAAGGATACCATGAACGTCAAAATTTCAAATTATAACCTGCAGCAAAAGTTTCATCTCTCAGTCTCTTTCCAAGCGACATTAACTCCACGAGCGAGAGCCAGCTCCCTCCCTGCAGGCGTTTGGAGGACTGAACGCCCGCGGGCGCGCCCAGCCTGCAGGGCTCCGGCCCGCCGAGGTCAGCGCCCGCCCCAGAGCGGGTTTCGGGGCGTCTGGGGGACCCGGGGTCGCGCGAGGCGGCGAGGGATGGGGGGACGCTGGGAACGGCTCCATCGAACAGGACACGGAGGAAGCGGTGCCGGGCAGAGGACCCGGGCCAAGAAGGGCTTGGGGCGCCAAACCCCGCGCCTCGGGTGCGACCCCGGTCCGCACACACCTGGAGCGGCCGCGCCCCCCGACCCCGGGTCCGATCCCCAGGCCGGGCCCCTCCACTCCCAGGCACCACAGGTTCACTCCGAGCGCCCCGTCCCTAGGAAGCAGCCGTCCCAACCGACCCGGGGCGCGGACACCCACCTGGCCGCGCCGCACCGAGGACTGGGCCCACCAGGCCAAGCAACAGCAACCACCGGACACGAAGGGTCCCCGAGGGAAAGCGCGCGCCAGACCCCATCTCGGCCGATTCCGCAGGTTCCTCTCAGCACTCGGTCGCCTCCACCTCCGCCTCTTCCATCATTTTCCAACCCTGCCGGGGCCCCAAGTCTGGCCGGGAAGCGCGCGCGCCCGACGAGCACGCGCGCCCGACGAGCACGCGCGCGGCACTGACGCAACTGAGCCCTCGGTCCGAGCTCGCTCCCGACATCGCCTAGCTGCGCTGACGTAGGGAAAAATCCAGTCCCCGGCGCGAGAATAGGATTTCTAAACCGGCGGTGGCAACCAGCACTAGTCGGCCCGCCAGTCATATCCGCCCCGCCCCGTCGGCTGCCGGGCACGCCCACCTAGGGGGGTCGACGGATCCGATTGGAGAACGCATTCGGCGCAAAAGAAGGAGGAGCATGAGACCCAGAAGAGGAATCGAGAAGCAGAAGCAGAGGGCGGAGTAGCCCCGCCCGTCTGCTCGACCTTTTCTAGTTGGTTGGCGGAGGTGCGCGGAGCGTCGAGCTGCGCGTCCATTGGCTGTTTGGCGGGGCTACGCGGGCGGGGCTACGCGGAAAGGCCTGACCACGCAGTTCTTGGGTCTGTGCTGCTGGCCTGGGGTTGTGGTTGAGGCCGGGTCTCCGCTCCTGTGCCCGGGAAGATGGTGCTAGGTGGTTGCCCGGTTAGTTACTTACTTCTGTGCGGCCAGGCGGCTTTGCTGCTGGGGAATTTACTTCTGCTGCATTGTGTGTCTCGGAGCCACTCGCAAAATGCGACCGCTGAGCCTGAGCTCACATCCGCTGGCGCCGCCCAGCCGGAGGGCCCCGGGGGTGCTGCGAGCTGGGAATATGGCGACCCCCACTCTCCGGTCATCCTCTGCTCTTACCTGTAAGCTACCAGTGGTCGAGGCGGGTGGACGTGGAGGGTGTGCCAGGAATATATGGGTGTTAAGGGAAGGCAGGGTTGGGGGGACGCTGCATTTTTTCAGACCCTGCCTCTCTGAGGTCGTTCCGGAGGCAAATATCATGAACCAGGTTTCTCACAGCCCGTGCAGAGAAAACTCTTGTGTGTCAGTGACAGAGGCTTTGAGATCCCCAAAGAGGAAAACTGGGTAGGAGTAACATCATATAGCCTCTGGAAGAAGGGCGTAAGGTTGTGCTTTCTTTGCCCTGCGCCCTTTAGCCCAAGGAGAGTATTAGTCGGTCGATTCGGTGCCAGTACTGAGTAAGGCATAAATGGAGTAAATGACTTGTCTCTGCCTACAAGGCATCTTTTAAAAAAGCAATCAATATTCTTACCGTTGCAGAATCACGCCATTTTTTAACATCTCTTTTTGATCAAACAAGAAAAGGCATTTGGGAAATGCAAAGAGGACTGAGAATACTTTGGCTTAAATTTTGCCCCCAGAATCTTGTTGTTTGCCTACTGAAGAGATGAAACCATGGCAGAAGTAGAATCCTTATAGAAACAGGACCAGAAACACCTCCCTTCTCCAACAAAAGGTTCATTTTGGTGGCTGTCCGTTTGACCTGCTGTGCTTCAGTTTAATTGGCTTGGAAAGGGGTCAGCAGGGTGAAACCGAACCCCAGAAAACTTGATGAAGAAATGTCTTTTGCCCGTTTTGATTACGTGCATGCAAACAGCGATTTGCAAAGACCGTATGATGATGATCATGATCTTACTGGTGAATTACAGACCTGATGAATTTATAGAATGTGAAGACCCAGTGGATCATGTTGGAAATGCAACTGCATCCCAGGAACTTGGTTATGGTTGTCTCAAGGTGAGTTTTTGTTTTGTCGTAAGAGCAAACCCTTCGATAACGAAATAGGAATGTCTGAATGCTATTACATAAAAGTATAAGAGGTACAAAGTTTTTTGAAGAATTTCCTCAGAAAGACCGTTACTGGAAATTTCCAGTATGGCCAGGGTCAGTGACTGAACAAGATATTTGGTTTCCTTATGAAGGAGCAATCTCTGTGCTAAAACCACCCAGGTGCAAAGACCAACCTGTCTTTGGTTCCTTTGGCCACTGACAGATTTTGAAACTAAAATGTCACCCCTGACTCTCCTTCAAGGCATGAACCTTTCCTGAAAGAGCAAAAGGAAGTCTGTGCACTTTGCAACACTGGTGATGGATTGGGCAGTATCTTTGTTACACATGCATTTGGGGCAGAGCTTTTCTTGCCAATGACATTTCTTTTCTCCAGGCAAACAGGTTCCACCATGTCCGTAGGAGACAGATAGAGTCTACCGGTATATGTCTTTGTAGGACATTAAAGCGTTCCAGCGGAAGCCATTGGTTAACAGTGGCTTCTTGGAATGGAAAAACGCTATTAAGGTTTATTAGTAATATCCCTAAAGCTGAGTGTACAGTTCCTAATCAATCTCTCAAAATAACCAATGAAGTTCATGTATCTCCTCCCCACCATGGACTCGCCATCCTATTATGCCACATAATGCAAGTCAAGATTTGGTCAGATGTTAAGAGAATGATGGGAAGGCATGTTTTGTACTAAATCAGACACAGAGGAATAAACCTGACAGTAATAAGACTAAAAGGGCAACTCTTACTGAAATCATGTATAGATAAATATTTAAGACAATGAAATTTTACTCTGTTGATAATTATTGATTAAAGTTTGAGTTAATATTGTATAGAGATCACTTTTGCCCATTTTAATTAAAAATTGAGTTTATCCTGTAAGCATTCTTATTTCCCAGTCCCTTCCCTTTGAGGAACTCGCCAATGAAAATAGTAATAAGCACTGATATAAGGTACCAGTAAAAAATGAATATCTGTGATTTCTTGGCTAGAATTCAGTTAAGCAATGGTAAGAGGCCCAGTTCTGAAATTTTTGGCTGGAATTTAAACTTAACAGGTGTCCCACAGATATCAGGTAATACACATTTATGACCTAAATAAAGTCCTGAGTCAGATAATATCCTGAGTTCTTTCCTAATTCTATTCATTTTTAATAGATATAAAAGAGACCTCTAATAGGCAGTGACTTTTTAAATACCCACTCCCAAATGCTCAGTTATATGCTCTTTTTCCTGTAAATATGTATAAGCTTATACATATAAATATGTATAAGCATATACATATGCTTATAAGTAAAGATAAGTAAAGCATTGTGTTCATCTCTTCTAAATGGCCTTTAATGACACTGAGTGTGTTTGGGGGTTTTTTTTACTATATTATTGAAGAAGCCAGTCATGAAGAAGAAAGCAGGAGTTTATTTAAGACAGTGTACCTTTAAGATGGACTCAGAAGTGTGTCACTAAATTCCTTGCCCTTGAGCACAGCTGTACCTCAACCTTGTTGGAATAATTGTAGTCCTGAGGCCGCTTTCATTCTGTTATTAGTGAATATAAAGATAGATGTTTGTGTCACTTGCTCTGGTGAGTTGGTTTTGGTCTTGGTTGTTATTCCACAGTTCGGCGGTCAGGCCTACAGCGACGTGGAACACACTTCAGTCCAGTGCCATGCCTTAGATGGAATTGAGTGTGCCAGTCCTAGGACCTTTCTACGAGAAAATAAACCTTGTATAAAGTAAGTGTTACTTTGATTGGAGTAGTTGGTACTTGGTTGGAGGTAGAGCCATTTTCCTTGTCTTTTTATTTATTTATTTTTTGTTTTAAGAGACAGGGTCTCACTCTGTTACCCAGGCTGGAGTGCAGTGGTGCAATCATGGCTTATCGCAGCCTGGACCTCCTGAGCTGAAGCAATCCTCCTGCCTCAGCCTCCCGAGTATCTGGGACAACAGGCACATGCCACTGTGTTCAGCTCATTGTTATTTTTTGATATGACTTTTTTTAAGCACCAAAGAGGGTCTATGGCTACCATTGTGCATAATTCATTGACAGAAGCAATATGTTTATAGTAGAGAGGACTCTGGACTTAAGCCCGGAAGGTGAAGTTCTAACTGTCTCTTTCTCTAACTTGCTAAGTGCCTGTGGGCACTCAGTTTATCCCTTATCTACAGAATTTTGGGCCAGATGATCTAGCCCCAAAATTCCTACAATAGATATAAATCTTGTGCAAATTGCCCTAGTATTTCAGGAATAAAGGTTTTATTATAAAAAGTGTAGGCTCCACACTCTGAAAATCAGTTTATCATTAAGGTAAAGGAAGGCACAGAATTTCCTTGTACAGTTTGCTAATGGAAACAGTCTATGAGTATGATTAGTAATATTAGGGTAACTGCAGCTGTGTCAGCACAGTGGATAAGGGCAGAGCCTTATGAAGAAGTCCTCGCTTTTCGCTGCTCAAAACAACAGGAAAGAGTGTATGGAGATCAAGTGTTCATTTAAGAACAGTGCTTCCTTAGAGAACTACATGCAGGAAGCCAGCTGAGTCTCAGGAAAAGAGCCTCTACAGAGGAGGATGGGAGCCCAGACTCCTACTCCTACCATGGTGCCTGTTGTGCAAATGTGCTTGATGACTTCTTGTCCAATCCAACTCTGCAAAAGTCAGTATTTGTTCTTAGAGATGCTCCATATCTTAGCAAGTATTCTGTTGAGACCCTCTACCAACTAGAGATTCTTAGAGGAGAGTAAAGTAAAGGTGAAGAGGGTGTATTATAAAAAAATGCGTATTTTTTTTTTTTTGGAGATGGGGTCTTGTTCCATTGCCCAGGCTGGAGTGTAATGGCACAAACAGACAAACAGGGCTCACTGCAGCCTCGACCTCCTGGGCTCAAGCGATCCTCCTACCTCAGCCTCCCGAGTAACTAGGACTACAGGTGTGCTCCACCACACCTGGCCTTTTTTTTTTTTTTTTTTTTTTTTTTTGGTAGAAACAGGGTCTCGCTATGTTGCCTAGGTTGGCCTGGAGCACCTGGGCTCAAGTGGTCCTCTCATCTTGGCCTCCCAAAGTGCCGGGATTATAGGCATCAGCCACCACCATGGTCAAAAAGTTTTTTAAATTATTGTACATTATGATGTTTGACATCTTAAAAACCTTTCTGGCTGTGAAGAGACTGCTCTTCCTGAAGCTAGTCATTTCTTAGAGATAGCAAAGGGCCCAACCAGCAGCATGCCTTTGATATGCAAACTAGTCTAGAGACATATCTTCTGTTTCTGGCCTGTACACCCCAGGAAATAATATTCCTCTGCCTTAGTCTTCTCAGGTCCAAGTGCCAGGCAACCAGGGACCACTCCTATAGCTTAGAGCCTGCTGAGGTTATTCAAACTAGCCAGTTCTAAACTATTCGCCCTGCCCTGTCTTGCCTTTCCTGCAGAAACCCCAATGAAGATAGTGGCCAAAAACCTTCCCCTCCCTTCTATCTTCCAACCACCCTGGTATCTTTGCCAGGTAGCCTTGTATAACATGATGTGCCTCCTGTCTCTGGGACCTATGAGTATAATAAACTTTGGTTTTTCCTGATCCTCTCACCTCACTGACCATATCATAAAAGAAAACAAAATGGAGGGTAAAAGGCCACAGAGGGTCCACTGCACTGTCTCATCACTTACGTTAAATTCACTAATCCTTAAGGGTTTAAATTTTCGTGCAGTAAAACATCTTCCTTTTCATTCCTTTCACCTAGGTATACCGGACACTACTTCATAACCACTTTACTCTACTCCTTCTTCCTGGGATGTTTTGGTGTGGATCGATTCTGTTTGGGACACACTGGCACTGCAGTAGGGAAGCTGTTGACGCTTGGAGGACTTGGGATTTGGTGGTTTGTTGACCTTATTTTGCTAATTACTGGAGGGCTGATGCCAAGTGATGGCAGCAACTGGTGCACTGTTTACTAAGAAGAGCTGCCATCATGGCCCAGGGAGGCGGGTGAAAGCTCCGTCTTCTGAATTCATCTCTACAGGCTCAAAACTCCTCTTTGATATCAGACCTGATGTTATTTTCCTTCTTTTGGAGGGCATTTGTTTGGTTAAGAAGGCTTCTTTGGACTTTGGAATTTCAACCCAGATTTTACCTTGCAGACGGAATGACAAGCAAAAAGTGTTGTGGGGAATCAAATTTGTTCCTTTCCTCATGCACAAAACATAAAGGATAGTGGCGAGTTTACAAGCTGTGGATGGGTTTCCATAGTCTTCCTTTCTGTACATTGCTATATCTTCAGTCCTTTGGAGCAAGTGGACCTAACAAGTTGAGCAAAATGAATATTTGGATCCATGTTCCTCTTGTGACCCTGAGTCTTCATGCAAGGAGATCTGAAGCTGAACAATGAAAATCTTCAGCAGAAATAGAAATGGCCGTGGATTGTAATACACACTGAAATTCTGACTTTCTGAATTTAAATGTAGAATAAATTTTACCAACTTGGAGTACTGTATGAGTATTTTCAGTAGGGGGAATAAACTCAAAATTATATTTGTTTTGCAGAAACCTAGTCATTTGAAATGAGCCATCCTATTAAGCCCTCTTTTGTCTCCATTATGTTCCAGAGGCAGTATATGCAGTGCAATAATTTTTTCATTCCACTTATGTTTTGAAAGCCAGCGGCATCAGATGTGTGAGTTGAGCTATTCCTCCTGGCAGAATTGTCCAATCTAAAAATCAGCGTTTACCAGCCCATGCTAATAAAATTAAGATTTCATACAAGTTTCTGTAAAACTATTCTTCATGATTAGCTCTCCCTGTGGGCTGCAGCAGTCAGAAAGAGATAACAGCCACACCTCTGCATTCCCCGGTCACCAGGAATAAAAGGAAATGTTCCAGATTGTAAGTGGTTTTAAAAACTCAGTTCTCATCGTTTGCAATCTAAGTTGAAAGAACTATTAAATATAAAATCAAAGGTGGGCAATGTGGCCAAGTCAATGGAAGAGGCTTTACTCAGAATAACTTACAAATTCTAGAAACAAGGTAGAACTCACTCAGTTTACCTAATAATAATTGAATTTAAGACCAAATATCACAGTTGAAATAACTTCCCTGGATACATTCTATCATTTTGTAGCTTTCCTAAGAATTTCTTGCTTTATCATTCCTGATTAATCACTGTTTTTACATTATTAAAGGTGGCAATTTTCTGTAAAAAATTTAAAACAGATGATCCTATTCTGTCTTGAAAGTTCTGTACCACACTGACCTTAACCTTGCTTATAACATAACAATTGGTAAACTTTTAATTCATAATCTTTATACCCTAAGATAGTATTTATTAAATTTTTATGGGTCATGAAGAAACTAGACCCTCTCCCCAGAAAAATCTACATACACAGAATTTACATAGAACTTGGGTTCATCTACACAATTTATGCATGAAATAAAATTGTACTGGTACCCTATAAATTTATACAAATAAAAGAGTTTAAGGGAGTTCAAGGATGCCATATGTATATTTTAAAAAAATTTCTAAGGGAAGTCTAAAAAACATAAATTATAATATTACCCAAAATAAGATGCTACTTTTCACCTAACCAAGTCCTGCCTCATTTCACACTTTAACCTCCTAAGTATATTCATAACCCTACCAAAAGTTGTTTTCTTTAAAAAATAAGAAACTTTAGGGCCAGCGCAATGGTGCAAGCCTGTAATCCCTGCACTTTGGGAGGCCGAGGCAGGTGAATCCTTTAAGGTCAGGAGTTCGAGACCAGCCTGGCCAACATGGTGAGACACACTCCCCCACCCCCGCCCAGTCTCTAGTAAAAATGCAAAAATTAGCCGGGCGTGGTGGCGTGCACCTGTAATCCCAGCTACTCGGGAGGCTGAGGTAAGAGAATCACTTGAACTGAGGAGGCAGAGATTGCAGTGAGCCGAGATCCTGCCACTGCACTTCAGCCTGGGCAACAGAGTGAGACTCTGACCAAAAAAGAAATTTTGCAGCTCCAAGGCTTGAAGTCATTTATGTTGCCAGGGGTAAGAGCTTGGTTGAAGGGCTAAAAGACTAGAAACTACTGAAGATGCCCTTCTTACTGTCAGTAAAGCTGCTGGAGACAAAAGAAGTTGTTCTCGCTGCTAGAGTGGTAATTTGAGAATCATCAGTATTCCTATGTGACAATCCAAAATTACTGGTTTTCATTTGACTTGTAAATGACACCCATCATCCATCTGCCCACAAACCTGGCCAAATGTGATACAACCTGAAAACCTGATGGACTAAAGGAGTACTATTTAACAATTGATTGCCTTTGCACTTTATTCAGGTTGTTTCTTAAATTTTGGTAGACAGATCCATTTGTATATGTGTGTGTTATATCTAGTTTATGGCTATAGAGAAGGTTTAAAATACTACAGTGTCCTTCCCTCAAGGTTAAATTAGAAGCTGCCTGCCTTTTAGTTGTTTCTTGCCTTTAATAAAATGTTATCAGTTCCCCCAGATTTCCTGGCACTGTGTTCTTCTTCCACTTGACATAGTCAGGCATCTTAGCAACAGTATAGTACCCCAACCTAATGATCCCTGAATGTGTATATGTGTTTCAAACTCCATTTTTCTTATTTTTTAATTGTAATCTCACAACATTACCATTTTTCTTTTTATTTTTATTTTTAAGTTCTGAGGTACATATGCAGGATGTGCAGGTTTGTTTCATAGGTAAATGTGTGCCATGATGGTTTGCTGCACCTATCAATCAACCCATCACCTGGGTGTTAAGCCCAGCATGCATTAGCTATTTTTGCTAATGCTCTCCCTCCCTCTACCCTACCCACTGCCAGGCCCCAGTGTGTGTTGTTCCCCTCCCTATGTTCATGTGTTCTCATTGTTCAGCTCCCACTTATAAGTGAGAACATGCAGTATTTGGTTTTCTGTTCCTGCGTTAGTTTGCTGAGGATAATGGTTTCCAGCTCCATCCATGTCCCTGCAGAGGACTGTTGCTTTTTATGGCTGCATAGTATTCCATGGTGTATATGTACCACATTTGCTTTATCCAGTCTGTCATTGATGGGCATTTGGGTTGATAACCATCCATTTTTCTTTGTAAGAAAAAGATCCAAAAACTTCTTGCCATGTTTGGCACATCTCCAATACAAACCACGTGATATAACTGGTTTTTTTTTTTTTAGATAATCCCACTTTAAAACAAGATATTTAATTGATTGTTTCAGGTATGACTGTCAGGAGCAAATTATCTTTTCCCCGAAGAACAGCCATGGAAAGGGAATCACTGTCAAGAGCTTTAACAACATCAGTTGTAGTAGTAATAGGTTTCCCATTTATGTTGACAATTACATCGTGATCTCTCAATCCAGAGCTGAGAGAGGGAGAAAAAAAAGAGGATCATGAAACTATAACAAGAATTTTACTTATCCCCATCTATAATTTAATATTTCTGTCTTAATGGCACTATTTTGCTGGCATTAAGCATACAAACGAGAAAATAGCCTCAATCCTTCCAAATCATAAAGCTATTCTAAAATATGCTGCAAAAAAGTCACCTAGAGGACAACTGTCTTATTTACCTTTATAAAATTAATTTCCTATCAGAATCATGTGAGAAGTTTACTCCTCCCATTTTGGGGAGTTGGTTTGGAAGGGGGAGTTTAGCTTTTAATTTCTATCAACCCCTGACCTCTGTGAACTTCAAACATGCTCCCAGCCTCAGCAGCCAAAGTGAAAAGCCCAAGCAATATGTTTTCTCCCAGACACTTAAACTCGGCTCAGTTTGATTCTGGCAGCCCACTCACTTGCCTGTCTTTCCCACCCCACCCCACCCCCCCGCCCCAGCTTATGGAGCTGGGAAGGATGCTGAGCTGCATTATAGGAATTCTGCTTCCACTAAATCAAAAACCCGCCAACCTTCTGAGTCTAAATATTTCCAGCTCTGGCTCTAGGCTCCTTTTCTCCAAAGTTGTGACTTTATTGCCTTCAACATAATTGCTTCACATAGAGTATATATTCTAGAAGCAAAAACCAGCTCCAAATACAAAACACTACAATACAGAAATAGCCATGCCAGTGATTTGGTGAAAATAGGCTGAAAAAGGAACAGCAAATGACTCCAGGAGACACCACTTGATAGAAATGGGAAGCTCAAGGAAGAATGATAATGTGGTTTGATCATCAAGATATGTGGAGTTTAAAAAGAAGAAGCTTAACGCAAGAGGATATGAAGAGACGCTTAAGTATAAAACTAAAATCAAGAAATAACCTTAGAACAAAGACAGTTTAGGAGGATGACTTAGGACCAGTGAGTACAAAGAAAGAACTTATAGAGAACTTAATTCATACTAGTCCTGTGAGTCAGAAAAGAGAAAAAGAAACCTGCAAATTATTACTAATAACCTATGCACCAAATATGAGGAACTATGGCTCAGACAGGACAAATGACCTTTTTCTGTGTCATGCAACTTGTGAGAGGGATTTCATCCTGGGTCTTTCAGACTTGGGAACCCATCTTCTTGCCACTAAATCACTCTGCCTGTCAGAAACAGAAAAGCAGCCACCAAAGCAGGATAATAGAAGGGTTCAGCCAGGGCCCACATCCCTGCTCTCTGCTCTCTGATTTACTGCGTTCTACAAGTTAATGAACCTCTTTGTACCACAGCTGCTTCCTCTATAAAATAATACCTATATCATAAAATGTTGGGAGCACAAACAGGTGTATAAAACACTTCAAATAGGCCAGGAGCAGTGGCTCACACTGTAATCCCAGCACTTTGGGAGCCACAGGCGTGTGGATCACCTGAGGTCAGGAGTTCGAGACCAGCCTGCCCAACATAGTGAAACCTCGTCTCTATTAAAAGTACAATAATTAGCTAGGTGTGTAATCCCAGCTACTTGGGAGACTGAGGCAGAAGAATCGCTTGAACCCAGGAGGCGGAGGTTGCAGTGAGCTGAGATCATGCCATTGCATTCCAGCTGGGGCAACAAGAGCGAAACTCAGTCTCAAAAAAATAATAATAATAAAAATAAAACACTTCAAATAGTGCCTGAGATATAGTAAAAGTTTTGTAAGTGCCAGATAGTGGTGTAATTATCATTATATTAGGTATAAGTCAGTGAAAGCCAGAAAGAATAGATTTGTTTGAGACAGGTTCTCACTCTCTTACCCAGGCTGGAATACAGTGGTGCAGTCATGGCTCACTGCAGCCTCAAACTCCTGGGCTCACATGATCCTCCTGCCTCAGCCTCCCTACAGGCACCTGCCACCACACCCAGCTGATTTTGTTTATTTTATTTATTTGTCTTTAGAAACTATGTTGCTCAGGCTGGTCTCAAACTCCTGGTTTCAAATGATCCTCCCACATCATGGCATGAGCCACCATGCCCAGTCCTGATTTCTGTTTATCAGCAACTTCCAGCACTAATTTTCACATTTTAACATACACATGAATCACCTGGGGATCTTGTTAAACACACAGATTCCGATTCAGTGGATCAAAGGTGGGACCTGGGATTCTGCCTTTCCAACAAGCCCCAGCTGAGCTAATGACGCTGGTCTACAGACCACATTCTGAGTAGCAAGGACTTAGCCGAAAGAAATAGCTTTGGTCTTGAACCAGAACTTAAGGAAATGGGGGAAGAGTGGAGCAGAGCAGGAATGAGAAAAGTCCAGAGAAACCAGGGACAAGCCAAATTTAGTAACATGAGACCTATGACTGCTGTGCTGAACAGTGCCCTCTGATTTCACTAGGGGGAAAGCCCCAGTGAAAGTGGTGCCATAATCTAAACAGATTACTGAGCTCTTGAAAAATAAAAACAATGAGAAAGGGATAATAAAGAAGTACAGACCGCGGGCGGTGGCTCACGCCTGTAATCCCAGCACTTTGGGAGCCCGAGGCAGGCGGATCACAAGGTCAAGAGATGGATACCATCCTGGCCAACATGGTGAAAACCCATCTCTACTAAAAATACAAAAATTAGCTGCGCGTGGTGGCACACGCCTGTAGTGCCAGCTCCTCGGGAGGCTGAGGCAGGAGAATCACTTGAACCCAGGAGGCAGAGGTTGCAGTGAGCCGAGATCGCATCACTGCACTCCAGCCTGGTGACAGAGCGAGACTCCGTCTCAAAAAAAAAAAAAAAAAAGAAGTACAACAGAAAAGCCCAGGAGAATGATATTTGTAGGACAAGCCACCTCTCTCAGTACTTAGTATTAAATGTTTTGAAACAACAGTGAAATCAGCTGGAGAACCTTCTTTTGGAAGCTGTCCTAGCCTTTGCTTTATTACACAGGTCTTAGCGCTGGCCTCTGATATTGTCATTCAGAGTTCAAAGAAAAATGTAGGTTTTGTGAGGTTTTGGTGTAGTTTTTTTTTGCTTGTTTGTTTGTTTGAGACAGGGTCTCACTCTGTTGCACAGGCTGGAGTGCAGTGGCATGAGCACAGCTCATTACAGCCCAGACTCAGGTGATCCTCCCATCTCGACCTCCCCAAGTAACTGGGACCACAGGTGCAAACCACCACACCTGGCTAATTTTTGTTTTTTGTTTTTTGTTTTTTTAAATGGGGTCTCGCTTTCTTGCCCAGGCTGGAGTACAGGGGCGTGATCCCAGCTCACTGCAACCTCTGCTGCCCAGGTTCAAGCGATTCTCTGACCTCAGCCTCCCAAGTAGCTGGGATTACAGGCATGCGACACCACACCCAGCTAATTTTTATATTTTTTAAGTAGGGATGGTGTTTCACCAAGTTTGCCAGGCTGGTCTCAAAATCCTGACCTCAAGTGATCTGCCCACTTTGGCCTCCCAAAGTACTGGGATTACAGGCGTGAGTCACGGCACCTGGCCTAATTTTTATTTTTTGTAGAGACAGGGTTTCACCGTGTTCCCCAGGCTGGTCTCGAACTCTCAGGCTCAAGCAATCCTCCCACCTCAGCCTCCCAAAGTGCTAGGATTACAGGGCTGAGCCAACATGCCCAGCCGAAAAATGTGTTTTAAAATACCTAAAATATGGCCAGGCGTGGTGGCTCATGCCTGTAATCCCAGTACTGTGGGAGGCCGAGGTGGGTGGATCACTTGAGGTCAGGAGTTCGAGACCAGCCTGGCCAACATGGTGAAACCCTGTCTCTACTAAAAATACAACAATTAACCAAGCGTGGTGGCGGGTGCCTGTAATCCCAGCTACTCGGGAGGCTGAGGCAGGAGAATTGCTTGAACCTGAGAGGTGGAGGTTGCAGTGAGCCAAGATTGCACCACTGCACTGCAGCCTGGGCAACGAGTGAGACTCCATCTCAAAAGAAAAAAAAACTATTAATGAATAATTAATAGTTACTAATACCTAATAGGTGTTAATCACTTAATAGTTATTAAGTAATAACTATTAATGTTGAAAGGGTAGATTTGGGAATTCCTAGCCAAATTAATTTAAACTTATGCTATTAACTCATAACATGAGCTCTTCTTAGACTATAGAGAACCACCTCCCTCCCAAAATACAAAAAAAGCCTTTATAAGTACCCAAGTCTGAATCAGCACTGTCCTGTAGACAATAATGCAAGCCACATACATAATTTTAAATTTTCTTGTAGCCACATTTTTAAAAATTTTTAAATAGATGAATTTAATTTAATAATATATCTTATTTAATACAATATATCCAAATATTATCATTTAACGTGATATTTTTAAAATAGTTATTTTACACTCTGTTTCCTATGTCTTTGAAATCCACTTGAAATAACACACCCCCCCAATATACTACTATATAATGATAATATTTTTTTTTTTGAGGTGGAGTCTTGCTCTGTCGCCCAGACTGGAGTACAGTGGCGTGATCTCAGCTCACTGCAACCTCTGCCTCCCATGTTCAAGCGATTCTCCTGCCTCAGCCTCCCAAGTAACTGCAATTACAGGCGCACCCACTAATTTTTGTATTTTTAGTAGAGACGGGGTTTCAGTATGTTGGCCATGCTGGTCTCAAACTCCTGACCTCAGGTGATCCACCCACCCTGGCCTTCCAAAGTGCTGGGATTACAGGCATGAGCCACTGCACCTGGCCTGGGTTTTTTAATTTAAATTAAACTTACTTTAATTCAAAATTCAGTTCCTCAGTCACACTGGCCACATTTCATGTGCTCAGTACATACTACATGTAAGTAGTGGCCACTGTATTGGACAGATCAAGTCTGGATCCCCCATGCATTTTACCATGGCACACATTTAGAAAAAGCAAAGGTAGATGACAAAGGCCTTCACTTCTCTTACCTTTGAGCAGCTGTTCCTTCAACCACTTTACATACATAAACCCCAGAACTCACATCAGGGAAATCTGGATAATGCATTTTCAATTCTTCACTAAGGCTAAGAGAAGTGAGAAGATTAGGAAACAATGAATTAGTCTCCTGAGCCCTGGTAAAAGCCTGAAATTCTTAGTAGGTACTCTGTTCTGCTCAAGGTTCACAAGGGCCGAGGAAGATTCCATCAAGCTAATCACAGTCATTCTCCTCTCAGTTCGGGCTGAGCCTCTATCCCAAAGCCTAGAACCACTGGACATTATAAAATACAGCCACAATGAAATAAACTATGTATAGTTAGTGCTGATGCAGGCAGAGGCAGATACATACCCTGAGACAGATAGGGCCTATGGTCACAAGAGTACCTGGCTGTGGTCCAAGTGGCTCAGCTTTTCTGTTAAGACTGTGCAGCTATGGTTTTTGCCTCTGAAAAACAACCCAGACATATTCAAACACATGCTTACGGCACAGTGAGGGACAGCATTTGCAGACCCAGATATTTCTTATTTGAAAACGCCTTTCCTGGAAAGGAAAGTTATGATGTGTTACAACAAAACCTCTTTCCTGTTAGCGCAGCTTAAAAGACACCCATGTCCCAGGATCTCTTTGCCATCACAGCTGTCCTTTCAGGTTACCTGGATGAAACACAGGCTTCAGAGAACCTTTGTCATTAGCACTTACACTCCTCCCACCCACCTCCCACCTCCAGCCCCTGGGTTTCATTTCCACATTAGCTCAATCCAAATACTTCTGGGTACAACTCATGCTTGGTTTGTGCCTAGTCCCCCAATATTGCTGCTCAAATCACCATTATAGGAGCTGAGTACAAATGAGTGACCCAGTAGTCTACAGGATTCAAATGGCTGTCTCCGGGCCAGGCATGGTGGTTCATGCCTGTAATCCCAGCACTTTGGGAGGCCGAGGCAAGCGGATCACTGGAGGTCAGGAGTTCAAGACCAGCCTGGCCAACATAGTGAAACCCCGTCTCTACTGAAAATACGAAAATGAGCTGGGCGTGGCAGTGGGTGCCTGTAGTCCCAGCTACTCGGAAGGCTGAGGCAGGAGAATCGCTTGAACCCAGGAGGCAGAGGTTGCAGTAAACCAAGATCACGCCACTGCACTCCAACCTGGATGACGAGCAAAATTCTGTCTCAAAAACAAAAACAAAAAAATTGCTGTCACCACAAAAGATTGAGTGTTCCTGAAAAGCACAAGACGAAACCAAAAAAAAAAAAATCCCAACTTGCTTTACCTTTCATCTGGTGCTCATGGTATTCTGCCAAGAACTGCCTAACTCGATCTGAAGGAATTGCAAAGGAGATTCCATCAGTCACCCTCAATGAATTGACGCCAATCACATCACCATCCTGGCAAGGGAGGGGACATCATTCAGTCATGAAGTTTTGCAAACTGATGAGTGCAAGACCAGAACAAGCAGAAGAAGGAGTGAAGCTAGTTACTTAGGGTCAGAAAACAGGGCCGAGAGGAACTTTGTACTTCAAAAGAGAGCAACGGATGTTCCTTTATAGGGCAAATAGTGTGATGGGACAGCAAAGGGTAACTGCACATGCGCAGAAGTTACCTTCTTTTCATGGCCAAAGGATCAAGGATGCTGAGGACTTTTTAAAATCTTGAGCTCATGGCTGGGCAGAGTGGCTCACGCCTGTAATCCCAGCACTTTGGGAGGCCGAGGCGGGCGGATCACGAGGTCAGGAGATCGAGACCATCCTGGCTAACATGGTGAAACCCCATCTCTACTAAAAATATAAAAAATTAGCCGGGCCTGGTGGCGGGTGCCTGTAGTCCCAGCTACTCGGGAGGCTGAGGCAGGAGAATGGCGTGAACCCGGGAGGCGGAGCTTGCAGTGAGCCGAGATCGCGCCACTGCACTCCGGCCTGGGCGACCTAGCGAGACTCCGTCTCAAAAAAAAAAAAAAAAAAAAAAAAAAAAAAAAAACTTAAGCTCATTTTTTTCCTTTAGTAAGTTACATTGACTTTAAAAGTGAGCCACAGTTTGTATTTTGACAAAGGTAGAAGGACAAGGAGCATTTGCCTTTTTATTATTTAAAAGTAAAAATAAACATGGAAAAGGTAAAAAGCTGTGGGATTGTCAGTAACACTGCACTGAGAATTAGCAAAATTGACCTTAGGGAACAAAGCTCTGCTAAGCTAAAGGTATGAGGTAGAAAATATTTTCCTCTTTATGTACCTCATCTTCCTTTAGCCTTTTAGGTAATGGGAAAGGATAAAAAAGAGATTTCTTTTTTTTTTTCTTTTCTTTTTGAGACGGAGTCTCACTGTGTTGCCCAGGCTGGAGTGCATTGGTGCAACCTTGGCTCATTGCAACCTCTGCCTCCCGGGTTCAAGCGATTCTCCTGCCTCAGCCTCCCAAGTAGCTGGGATTACAGGCGCATGCCACCATGCCCAGTTAATTTTTTTTTTTTTTTGTATGTTAGGTAGAGATGGGGTTTCACCATGTTGGCCAGGCTGGTTTTGAACTCCTGACCTCAGGTGATCCACCCACCTCAGACTCCCAAAGTGCTGGGATTACAGGAGTGAGCCACCGTACCCAGCCAGAAAAGAGATTTCTGATTGTGTTAAACTACAGATTGTAATTCAGTAGGTCGGGGGTATGGCCTGAAATTCTGCATTTCATCCCTGCTCTAGTAAACTCATTGTCTAATGGAGAAGGCAGGAACAAAACAAAGAAAAATGACATGCAATGCTATGAGTAAAAAAAAAAAAACAATCATTTTGCATAAAATTCATTCTAAAAGCAAATGTAATATTTAAACAGGAACCAAAAGCAATCAGTGCAAAGGGACTCAGAAAGGATGATCACATGCTATGTGTCAAACAGCATTGCACTCTCTTAGGTTTTCACATGTATTTGGGCAACTAGAAACCCTGACATTTCCACTAGAGACACGGAATACAATTTAAGAATACATGACACGGCAATGTATTTGAGAGGCCAAGGCAGGCAGCTCACTTGAAGTCAGGAGTGCTGGTTGTGGCTTTTCTCTCATCTATAAGCAGGTCAAGAGGTCAAGACTAAAAACCTGGACAGATGACATTATGTAATTAGCATTTTTAAATGAGAGATAGTTCTTCATATGCAGCATCAAGGAGTCTTCAAGGACCTACATTTCATAGCAAAGCTGGTCATTTGGCATAAACCTGGGTTTAATATCCAGGGCTTTTGGCACAGCATGGTGGCTCATGCCTGTAATCCTAACACTTTGGGAGGCCAAGGCAGGAGGATCACTTGAACTCAGGAGTTTGAGACCAGCCTGGGCAACATAGTGAGACATCGTCTCTATTAAATAAATAAATAAATAAATAAAATCCAGGGCTTTGGGTAACTAGCCAATGAAAACAGAAAGCACGGGGAAGAGAGAAATTTCAAAGGAAGCCGGAGCTAGAACCCTAGTGTTCTCAGTGGGATGAGATCACACACCAGGATAACAATCTTGAATTTTTTCTAACTATTGACTTAAGGTCCAAGAACAGAAAAGCACCATTCCACAGCTCTCTACACAAGAGTGGCACCCAAGTCTGCATCATGGAATATGTAAAGTCCTTTTTTGTTTTTGTTTTTGTAGATATGGTGTCTTGCTGTCTTGCCCAGGCTAGTCTCAAACTCCTGGCCCCAAGCAGTCATCCCAAATGTGCTGGGATTACAGGCATGAGCCACCACCCCTGGCCTGGAATTAATAAAGTCTTTGAAAGTTAAGAAGAAACATGAAGCAACAAGGAAAGTGATCACTTACCAAGTTCACCAGAGGACCACCAGAATTCCCATACTAAAAGCAGAATTTGAAAAAGACATCAGTGAAGCTAATGAATACATTCCCCCTTGTCCTTTACACATAGCTCCCAAAACAGTTTACCAAAAGCAGCCCACCAAGCTCCTATTCCCCCCAGGCCGGCAAAATTGTGCCCCTATCATCACCAATACCAAAGTCAGTGTAGGTAAAGAACTATAGCAGTGGGACCACCACCTTCATTTTTTTTTTTTTTTTTTGAGACGGAGTCTTACTCTGTTGCCCAGGCTGGAATGCAATGGCGCAATCTCGACTCACTGCAACCTCTGCCTCCCGGTTCAAGTGATTCTCCTGCCTCAGCCTGCTGAGTAGCTGGGATTACAGGCACCCGCCACCATGCCCAGCTAATTTTTGTATTTTTAGTAGAGACAGGGTTTCATCATGTTGGCCAGACTGGTCTCGAATGCCTGACCTCATGATCCACCCCCTTCGGCCTCCCAAAGTGCTGGGATTACAGGCATGAGCCACCGTGCCTGGCCAAGGGACCACCACCTTCTTACAGGAGGGGTGACCTCTACAACAGACCACCTAATAGCATGGATGCCAGCGATCACAGCGAACGAGACAGACTCTAACAAAGTGGCATTCCATTCCTCCCACAGTGATTCAACCAAACCTGGACATCCCCAAAGTTCACTCTGACATATTCTTCTCACTGAACTGCCAATATTGTGTGATCTGAGGAAAGGCCTCCTAAGTCAGCAATCCCCAAACTTTTTGGCACAGGGACCGGCTTTGTGGAAGACAATTTTTCCACAGACGGAGGGGTGGTTTGGGATGAAACTGCTCCACCTCAGATCATCGGGCATGAGTTAGATTCTATAAGGAACATGCAATCCAGATCCCTTGCATGCGCAGTTCACAATAGGGTTTGCACTCCTATGAGAATTTAATGCCGCCACTGATCTGACAGGAGGTGGAACTCGGGCAGTCATTCTCACTCGCCCATGGCTCACAGCCTGCTGTGCGGCCCAGTTCCTAACAGGCCATGGACCTGTACTGGTCCACAGCCCATGGGTTGGGCACCTCTGTCCTAAGTGACTTACATTAATTGTGGCATCAATCTGGACGTAGTCCATATCTGAATCCTTCATCCCCAGTTCTTTGCCCCCTCGCTGTTTGGTGCTGACAATTCCTGCAGTAGCTGTGTTCTGCAGAGAAAATGGGCTGCCCAAAGCCACCACAAACTCTCCAGCCCGAAGGTCAGATGATCTTCCCAGCATCAGTACAGGAAGTTCAGCCTGCACGTGCCCAAAAAGGGATGGGGAGGACAGAAAGGGTAAAGAACAAATCACGATCAGAATTGACCAAAGTGTGTGTCTAACACATATATGACGCTGTCTCTATCACCTTGGCCCTTACCACCTGAGAAGCACCCACTCACACAGCTTCTATGATTGCCTTCTACTTCTTCCTCAAAGTCCAACTACCATGAAGCTCTTGAGTGTTAAGATGACTAGGATCATTTCTAAGATCTAAAACAATTACTTTGTAGAAATTACTATTAGTAAACAGCCAGTGAAGTCACTGATGAACATAAACTGACATTAGGAATTTACACAGCACCATTCCAGCTCAAAGCTTAACAGTCAAAGTGAATAAGCCACAAACAGAAAGGAGATCACCCAGGGTGACACTTCTCACACTGTAATGTGCATGCAAATCACCTAGGGATGTTATGTTAATGCAGATTCTGAGTCAGCACATCTATCTGGGTAAAGGCTGAGACTCTGAACTTCTAAAAAGCTCTCAGACACCATGTCAATATATGTGATGTGCAGACTACCAGTACTATGTGTAGGAAGGACTTCAAAGTATTCCTTAGCAACTTTGAGTCCATCGCAGTAATTTCTGATATCCTAAGACAAGTAGAGAAATAATTTTCCCTGAAGCAGCATTTGTTGAAGGAGGAAAAAAAAAAAAAAAAGACTGCTTGATAGTTAATAGAAACAGTTAGAGGCCAAGCGCAGTGGCTCACACCTGTAATCCCAGCACTTTGGGAGGCCGAAGCGGGCGGATCACTTGAGGTCAGGAGTTCGAGACCAGCCTGGCCAACATGGTAAAACCCAGTCTCTACTAAAAGTACAAAAATTAGCCAGGCGTGGTGGCAGGCACCTGTAATCCCAGGTACTCAGGAAGCTGAGGCAGGAGAATCACTTGAACCCAGGAGGCAGAGGTTGCAGTGAGCTGAGATTGAGCCACTGTACTCCAGCCTGGGTGACAGAGGGAGACTGTTTCAAAAAAAAAGAAAGAAAAGAAAGAAACGGTTAGGGATATACAGAAAGGCGTTGAAGCAAATAAATAAAAGAGGGAGTAAAGAACAGAAAGAAACCAGAGAAAAGCATATATTCAACAGAAAAGATGTGGTGTGAGAGTGTAGTGGGGCAGAAAATATCAGCAAATAGATAAAAATCCCCAAATATGTAGACTCTGACTCAGCCCTGAAATACTCACATTTGATTCAATCTTAATCACCGCAAGATCCAATTTAAGGTCAATATCCTTGACAACAGCTTCATAACGGGCCCCATTCTGGAGCACCACCTCAATCCACTGCTGGTTCCTGACAACATGGGCATTGGTAATAATGAGCCCGTCCTCAGACACTATGAACCCAGAGCCACTGTACACAGGAACAAGCCTGCTGCCGTGAAGTAACCTGTCTCCACAAGACAATAGTGTAAACAGAGGGCAAGAAAGTTAGGGGATACAGCCATATAATCTGAGTCATGGGAACCTCACTCTTATTAAACATACCTCCATCATAGTTTTCTTTTCTTTTCTTTTTTCTTTTTTGAGACAGAATCTCGCTCTGTTGCCCAAGCTGGAGTGCAGTGGCGCAATCTCGGCTCACTGCAACCACCTCCCAGGCTCCTGCCTCAGCCTCCCAAGTAGCTGGGATAACAGGCATGCACCACCACGCCTGGCTAATTTTTGTATTTTTAGTGGAGATGGGGTTTCACCATGTTGGCCAGGCTGCTCTCGAACGCCTGACCTCAGGTGATCCACCCGCCTCGGCCTCCCAAAGTGCTGGGATTACAGGCATGAGCCACCGTACCCAGCCTTCCTTCAGTTTTCTCAGACATTTCACTTTTCCCTGGCTATGCGTAAATTTTCTCCATGTATCAGTGGACTTGGCAGGTACAGGGCCCCAGCCATCTCTTGTGAGCATGGTTGAGAGTGGGGTCCAGCTCTCCTTTTCCAGGGACACTGCTTCTTCAGAGCTGGTTAGTGTAGCAGCCCATGGGTTCTCTGCTGCGAAAAGACTGAACCCAATCCTAATACTAGAGGCAAAAGTCAGCCTCTTACCACAGTATCAAGGACCCAGGCAGGAGAGAATCAAAGGGCTCTGATTCTGGCTTAGTTTCCACCGCCAACTGGCCTCGTAACATAGTAACATAGGACAAATTAACCCTGCTCTCTGGGTCTGGATTTCCTTGTATCCAAAGTGGGGGCTGAGCAAGATCACAACCAAAATGCCTACTAAGCTGGATGTGGTGGCTACACCCGTAATCCCAGCACGTCGGGAGGCTAAGGTGGCAGATCGTTTGGGCCCAGGAGTTCGAGACCAGCCTGAGCAATATAACAAGACCTCGTCTCTACAAAAAAATACAAATATTAGCTGGGTATGGTGGCACCTGCCTATAGTCCCAGTTACTCCAGAGGCTGGGTTGGGAGGATTACTTGAGCCCAGCAGATGGAGCTGCAGTGAGCCGTGATCTGTCACTGCATTTCAGCCCTGGCGACAGAGCAAGACCTTGTCTCAAAAAAAGAAAAGAAATTGCCTACTAGCTCTTATATCTGACCTTAAATTTTGTCTGTGGCAGGAGGGGGAAAAAGCACCAGCCACCTAAGTGGGCAGGGGGAGCTGGGATTTAGAAGTCAGCATCCTTGTGCCTCTGCTCTTTGGTTAAATGACCTTGAACAGGTTATTCAACCTCTTTACGTCTCAGTTTCCTCACTGGTTTTTTAGGATTAAATGACGCTTGCGAAGGGTCTGGAGCAGGTAGGCACGCAGAAACCATTAGCTGGGACAGTGGAGGTCTTCCTCCTCCTCCTTTACCTGCCCCACAGCTGCACGTGAACCACCGATGGCGCCACCTTCTCCACCACCGCGGCGATGAAGTTGTAATTCCTCCTGAGCGGGCCTGCGCTTCTGGTCCCTATGAAAAAATACTGGCTCAAGAGTACGCCTCGAGGGAACCAGACCTGCTATCCTAGTTGGAAAAATGTTAAAGGCAAGACAGTGTTCAAAAGGTGCATGGGGAGGGAGAAACCACGTAGCAGCCGGTAAAGAGCCCCTGTTAAGGAGGAAAGGAAATCAGGAACACAGAGGTGTCGAATCCAGGAGGCAAATGACGCAGGAGGACCAGGCGCGAACTGTGCGGTCTCAGTGAGGTCTTGTTCCTTTACGCTCCTCCAGAGTTAGAAAGTGTTCCGAGGGCGCGCGCCCCCGCGGCTCACCTGTATCCCCGCAGTTCCCCCACTGCACAGGCACGGCCGGGACCTTGCCCAGGCGGCGCGCGGCGCGGTTTTCGGCCCGGAGCGCGCACATGCTGGGGTAGGTGCGCCTGTCGCTGCCGCACACGGCCCCTCCCAGCGTCGGGCAACCGCAGGTGCTGGGGAACCCGGGGCGCAGCGGCTGGAGGCACTGCAGCCCCGGGGCGCACGGTTGGCCCTGCGCCCCGCCGCAGACTTCACGCTCGGCCGCGGGGCAGACGCGGCAACAGCGGCACAGGTCGAACACCGGCGTGGTCCCCAGCGCGCAGGTGGGCAGCGCGGGGCAGCGCGTGGGCTGGCAGACCGCGGGGCAGGAGGGCTGGGTATGTAGCTTTTCAGCCCCGGCCCAGAGGACGGGCACCAGGAGCAGCAGCAGCCCCGGCAGGAGGCATCGTCCCAGCCCCGCGGTCCGCAGCTGAGGTCTAATCATCCTGTTCCTTCCTCGCTTCCACTCTTCAGTGACTTTACTCTGGACCTGCAAACCCTCCTAAATGAGAGACACTTTCTCCCGGCCACGGCGCCGCCTCCGCCGGCCCCCAAACTTTAAGGGGCAGAGCCTGGCATACCTCTGCATATACACACCCGTACATCCCCTACCACCCGCCCCCGTCGGCGCCCCGGAGCCAGGTTCTCCCCCAGGCAATGAGGGGAAGGTCTCTAGCCCTACCCGGAGCAGGAACCTACCTCCTGAAATCCCTAAAACCGACAATGAGGGCAGACTGATAAGAAAGCTCACCCACCCATGGTCAGAAGGTCAGTATTAGGAAAACACATGACCATATTTCAGTATTTCACATGGTTTTATTACAAAACAAGCCACAAAACAGTTTTAGAAAATTTTTGCTACATACCAATTAGGAGATCACATAAAATGAGAAGCGTAACAGTTTCCATGCACTCAGCCTAGAGCTTACAGCGAGTGCATTTCACAGCTGAAACATCACTGCTTTAAAACACAGAATCATGCTACCCCTTCATAAGCAGAGGGGGAGGAGGTCAAACAGTATGTTTTTGCCAAACGTTTGCTTTATCTGAACTCTATCTAGTATGAAGGACTGGCTGCCGCAGGCAATAACACAGAGAGGAAAAGGAACAAAGGAAGAAAAGGGTGCTGGCAGACAAGATTTAACAAACCTGTCCACTTCCGACATTTTGAAAGTTTATAAACAAAGCTCACTTGGGGACACTCAATTTCCAAAATGCTGTGACCTCCACATGTTATCTAATTTATACTGAAAACAAACCTACTAAACTCCACTCCTCAACTACTGAACCTGCTATTTATTCATGGGGTCTTTTTAGCCCATATAAGAGTATATTTATATTCAGAAATATAAAAGAAAAAAAATTTGCTTCAAGTAGACTAAGAAGCTGGACCTTAAAACTACTTTCTTTCTCGTGGGAGCTGAGTATTCAACTCAGAAATAGATGTATAACTCCAATATTCTGACCTGACATCAATCTCCATAATGTATACCTCAATACCCTTATGATGTCTCACTTAACACTAAAGGCCAAATTATTTTTACCAACCATCAGCTGACATTGAGTAAGCAAGTCTTTTGAAGATTTCAAAAGTAATAGATGGTGGCCAGGCGTGGTGGCTCACACCTATAATCTGAGTACTTTGGGAGGCTGTGAGGCAGGAAGATCACTTGAGCCCAGGAGGTCCAGGCTGCAGTGAGCCATGATCAGGCCACTGCACTCCAGCCTGGGTGACAGAGTGAAACACTGTTTCTAAAAATAAAAATTAAAGAATAATGGATGGCATTATTCAGCCATGGGGAGGACCACCTGAAATACTGTTACACACAGTGGGTCAAGACCACTTCAAAAGCCTTATGAAAATAGCACAACTCAGGCAAGGCTTTTATTCCACAAAGAAAATGCAGTACATTTTTTAGTTCCTTTAAAAAAAAAAAAACTCAGATTTACTCCAGAGCCTATGCACTTAGTCACTAATCTATACTGCATCCCCAACCTATTTTTTCCATTTGGTTCAATTTTATACATTTAAAACTAACTGCTTTGGTCAAATACGTACCATCTTTGGTTCACATTAAAAGATTATGGTCCAAAACTGGCCAGAAGTTAAGAAATATCAACAAAATAGGAAGTTTGAAATACAATTTAGGAATGGAATGCTTTTAGAGCTTGTTTCATTGAAGATAATAATTTATCTCATATTGAACTACATTAACGATGTTCTGGCTAGGTGCAGTGGCTCACACCTGTAATCCCAACACTTTAGGAGGCCAAGGCAGGAGGATCACTTGGGCCAGGAGTTTGAGAGAGCCTGGGCAACATAGCCAGGCTCTGTAGATAAAAAAAAATTAAAAATTAGCCAGGCGTGGTAGCACAACCCTGTAGTCCTAGCTACTTGGGAAGCTAACATGGGAGGATTGCTTAAGCCCAGAGATTCAAAGTTATGATGAACTATGATCACACCACTGCACTCTAGCCTGGGTAAGAGAGTGAGACCCTGTCTTTTAAAAATTAAAAAAAAAAAATTAAAAACAAGCAATGCTCTAATGTGGAATTCCCAAGTGTTTGCCAATTGACAAGAAGATTTCCATTTGACAGTCTTAGTGTCCTCGTTTCCCTTTATCAGGATAATACCATATGGATTCTATGTATGTTTAATTTGTCACATTCTCAAAAGAGATCTTGCTGAATAAGAAACAAATCAGCTTATTATAATGGCCAATTAATTTAGCAATAGTAACCTATCAGATAATTTTTTTTTTGAGATGGAGTCTTGCTCTGTCGCCCAGGCTGGAGTGCAGTGGCGCGATCTTGGCTCACTGCAAGCTCCGCCTCCCAGGTTCACACCATTCTCCTGCCGCAGCCTCCCAAGTAGCTGGGACTACAGGCGCCTGCCACTGCGCCCGGCTAATTTTTTTTTCGTATTTTTAGTAGAGACGGGGTTTCACCGCGGTCTCGATCTCCTGACCTCGTGATCCGCTCGCCTCGGCCTCCCAAAGTGCTGGGATTACAGGCGTGAGCCA
Organism: Homo sapiens; assembly: GCF_000001405.40. Taxonomy (NCBI): domain Eukaryota; kingdom Metazoa; phylum Chordata; class Mammalia; order Primates; family Hominidae; genus Homo; species Homo sapiens. Next base: position 38,971,685 of record NC_000008.11, on the reverse strand, counting down.
CCTTGCCGGCCTTATCAGATAATTTATTTAAAAGAAAAGAGAGAGAGAGAGATAAATGGGTAGATTTTCACAATGTATACACCAAAAGAGGACATCTTTTCCGTGAGTCAGGGAATATTTAAAGAGATATCAAAAGTCCCTATTTTCATGAGTTCCACATCACATATTTTGTGCTTTCTTTGAATAGCCAAAAAATTTTCTTGGGGAAAATACGAGAGTAAAACCAGAGCTAAGGAGCTATAAGAATTTGGAATGGCTTCTTGAAATCATGCCGCTCCAAGTATGTCATAACCTCGATCACTCAAAAATACATAACTCCCAAACCAAGAATTTCTGAGGGCAAAAGCACACCAGCGTGTATAGGAAAGGCAGGGGAAGGGATGGAAGGGAGAGAAAGAGGGAACAATGTAGATTTCCTGTTTTATACCAGGAAAACTAGGCCAAACTCAATTTAAATGAATAGCTCCAAAGCAGTGCAGTCAGAAAAAGTTCTCAGTGTGACATAGACTTCAGGGAAACAACACGTCCTGAAAGAAACATGATTCCCCTCAAGCCACAAAGGATTTTCTCATCAAGTGTTTTCACCTCTGCATTAGATTTGGACACAAGAAGAGGAGAGCATTTACTCAGGTAAAAATAGTTCTCTTAGTCTCTTCCTCTAGTTACTAATTTTTAATTTAAAAATACAATTAACTGATCTAGCTGATAAAAGTCACAGACAGAAATAAGCTAAGTTCTCTCTTCCTTTAGGGAACGCTGGTGGCAATTCACCATATAAACTGGATGGAAGAATTCTCCCAGGGACACTGGAAATAGCATCTTCTTATCAAATGGAAGGAGGTACGCCCTAAAATTTGGGTGGGACACTCAATTTTCTTTTATATTTTGAGACGGAGTTTCACTCTTGTTGCCCTGACTGGAGTGCAATGGCGCGATCTTGGCTCACTGCAACCTCCACCTCCTGGGTTCAAGTGAATCTCCTGCCTCAGCCTCTGAGTAGCTGGGATTACAGGCCTGCACCACCACGCCCGGCTAATTTTGCATATTTTTTAGTAGAGGCGGGGTTTCACCATGTTGGCCAGGCTGATCTCGAACTCCTGACCTCAGGTGATCCACCCGCCTCAGCCTCCCAAACTACTGGCATTACAGGCGTGAGCCACCATGCCCGCTCAAAACTCAATTTTCTAGGCTCTTTTATCTGAGGAATCTCTGGCCAGCAACTCATAACATCTAAATCAATGTTTCTATGCCAAGCTTCTATTTCATTAAAAATATATATCTCTCTCTAGATTCTTTTTGTATCTCTTCATGTTAAGTGCATGGAAATTCATCCTATTACAGGGTCTGATCATGCAAGCACACAAGGCTTCATTCAAAGGGCAACAGCAAGAAGAAAGAGAAAGCAAGTTTGCAAGGGTACAAAACACATAGCGCTTAAAATTAGACTAATGCTGGCCCATTCCAAAAGAGCTGCGAGGCACCTGGACTGAAAACAAAATGAAAAAACTAAAACAAGGACAAGGAAATAAAACTTGGTCATTGGTGAAACTGGACTTCCAGCCCCCTCTGGAGAGGAGCTGCTAAAACAATCCCTCTCCAGGAAGACCTCAGAATAGTTAGAATAGAATAGGTAGCTTCCTCTCCACTGAGTATGCCTACAGTTCTAACCTAGTGACTTCCCCAAATTAAATACACTGCGTTGATATTACACACACACACACACACACACACACACACACACACAGCCCAGCTGGATGGGCCCCTCCCTCCCAAAGAGCATCCACAGGAATATGAGTGACATAAAGGCCTCTGACTACCCTCCAACAAGGTAGAGAAACTGAGTCACAGCCTCCTTCTCTCAAGTCCTCCCTCCCTCCCTCCCTCCCATGGCACTGTGCTCCATCACACATCAGAGGTCCGTATGTTTTCATCATCAAGGTTGAACATAAACGGCTTCTCCTTGGGGTGCTGGGGCTCCGATCTGTGCCTTATCCGGGAGCTGGGCAGCACCCCAGGAGCGCTGCCCTCCCCAGGACGAGGCGTGAACAAGGAGTCCTCTGAAGTGTCTCCAGGTGGAAGCAGCTTCTCCCCAGCCTGGGGGACAGGTGTCCAGGGCTGCCAGGAGGAGGCCACAGAGGGGGCTTTGCAGAGGGCTTTCTTTTCCTCCAAAGGTGGCCGCCCCCTGCACAGGATAGAGTTGGGCCCACTTGAAAGGCTGGAGCTTCCAGGTCGGGTCAAAGAAATGGATCTAGAAAAGGACGTTTCCTATAAAAATAAAAGGAAGAAAAAGACAAAAGAAAGTTAGGGCTTTTCAGACAATGTTTATCACAGAGTCCCAGAAAGAGTACCCAACCAGGATCACCACCTCATAAGTCCAAGGATGCTTGCCTACAAAAATGAAATACAGTCAAAAGGATTCACTCCAAATGTGTCAACGTCAGCCTGGCAGTGAAACTTGCAGGACATATCAGAAATTCTGTTTCTCGGCCGGGCGTGGTGGCTCATGCCTGAAATCCCAGCACTTTGGGAGCCCGAGGCAAGTGGATCACCTGAGGTCAGGAGTTTGAGATCAGCCTAGCCAACATGGTGAAACCCCATTTCTACTAAAAATACAAAAAAATCAGCTGGGCGTGGTGGCACGTGCCTGTAATCCCAGCTACTTGGGAGGCTGAGGCAGGAGAATCACTTGAACCTGGGAGGCAGAGGTTGCAGTAAGCTGAGATCGTGCCACTGCACTCCAGTCTGGGCGACAGAGTGAGACTCCGTCTCAAAAAAAAAAAAAAAAAAGAAATTCCATTTCTCTATCTAACCCTACCTCACCTCCTCCCACAACCAAACAGAGAAAAATAAAAATGTGTACCCAAATTAGTAGAATGAGAAAAACAAGCAAGACAGCCTGGGGCTTCAGCTGCACCTCGGGACCAGGCTGCTTGCCTACATCACCAAATAAAACATGCCTGCTTGAGAGGAATTCATCTCTGAGTTGACACTGTGCAACAGAAAGGAAGTGACTTACTCTGGGGTGGCACTTGAGGGCCTGGACAGCTGCGCCAATCTCCTTAATCCAGCTGTGCATGTCTTCTGGACTGTCTGCCTGCAAAACATCCATGGCTCTTACCAAGAAATTTTAGGCACTATGATTTCAGCTTCCAAGTCTCTGACTCAATATTAAGTTTATAAAATTACACCATTAGGGGTAGAAAGCATCCCAGAAATCATCTAGTCCAGTAGCTTTCAGACTTTTAAGGACATGTTTTCCCTGCAATATCTTATTTGACACCCAATAAATAAAACCGCTCAAAGTGGAGCTGCTCTGAAATGAGGCACAGGCTGTGAGGAAGGGGAAAGTTTAAGACCCTATCCGCTGCTGAAGTCCATCACCCCCTCCAGAAAACAACTGATCCAGTCTAGCCTCCTAGTTTTATAAAAAAGGAAAATGAGGCCCAGAAAGCCAAAGCCCAAGGTTTATGGCTGGTAGAGATTCGAGTTCTCCTCACTCTCAACATAGTTGCCTTTCCACTGTAACTATCTGAACAGAATAATCCCACTTTCAATTCCAGCCCTATTAAAGCCAAATCCCACTGTAAATCCTCTAAGATATGTATTGCCTTCAGAAATGGGGCTTTTCTCAGAATACAAGCTACTGGGTCGCTTTGAAATTTACAAGGAACTCAAATAACTCAACAACAACAACAAAACCATAAATCATCCCATTAAAAAGTGTAGGCCAAGCGTGGTGGCTCATGCCTGTAATCTCAGCACTTGGGAGGTCGAGGCGGGTGGATTGCCTGAGCTCAGGAGTTCACGACCAGCCTGGGCAACATGGTGAAACCCCGTCTCTACTAAAATACAAAAAATTAGCCAGGAGTGGTGGCGTGCGCCCGTAGTCCCAGCTATTTGGGAGGCTGAGGCAGGAGAATTGCTTGAACCCAGGAGGCAGAGGTTGCAGTGAGCCGAGATCACACCACTGCACTCCAGTCTGGGTGACAGAGTGAGACTCTGTCTCAAAAAAAAAAAAAAAGTGAGCAAAGGACATGAATAGTTTTCAAAACAAGACATACAAGTGGCCAAGAAGCATATGAAAAAAATGTTCACTATCCCTAATCATTGGAGAAATGCAAATTAAAATCATCTCATACCAGTCAGAATAGCTATTATTAGGACAAAAAACAGATTCTGACAAGGATGTGGGGAAAAGGGACTGCTTATACACTGCTGAAAGGCATGTAAATTAGTACAACCTTTATGGAAAGGAGTAGAGAGATTTCTCAAAGAACTAAAAATAGAACTACCATTCAGGTCAGCAATCCCAATAGTGGGTGTCTCTCCAAAGGAAAAGAAATCATTATATCTTCACATGTGCCCCCAAACCTAAAATAAAACTTTAAAAATTTTTTAAAGAAATCATTATATCAAAAAGATACCTGCACCCTTGTGTTTATTGCAGCAATATTCACAATAGTAAGGTCATGGAACCAACCTAAGTGTCCACCAACAGAGGACTCGATAAAGAAAATGTGGTGTCCATATGTATAATGGAATACTACTCATCTATAAAAATGAATGAAATCGTGTCTTTTGCAGAAATATAGATGAAACTATTATCTTAAGTGAAACAACTCAGACACAGAAAGTCAAATACCACATATTCTCACTTATAACTGGGAGCTAAATAATGGGTACACATGGACATAGGGTGTGAAATAATTGTCACTGGAGACATGGAAGGGAGGGAGGGTGGGAGGCGGGTGAGGGATGAGAAATTACTTGATGCGTACGATGCACAATACTCAGGTGATGGTTACAGCAAAAGCCCAGACTTCACCAAAAGGCAATATATTCATGTAACAAAACCGCACTTGTACCCCTTAAATTTATACAAAAAAAAAAGAGTTGTGACTTTGCTATTGTGAATAAAACTTTTAAAAAAATTTAAAGAGTTGTGGGACTCGCAGCACCAAGCTTCACAGTATGTGAAGGATGAAGCCGAGTTACTTATTTCCTCCCAGAAACAACCTATAAACCCCAGAAGGGGGCAGCAGCGGCTCTATGAAAAAAGGGAGGAAACTCCAGCGGCCTCGCTACTGCCGGTGGAGCCTGTCAGTGCCCTCCAGCTTTATAGGGGTTGAGTTCAAGTGAACAGAGCAAACGCTGGCTAAGGGCCCCACCCGGTGTTACATGCTGCATCAGGTGCCAGACACAGCAATGGGACCAGGCAGAATCTCCAGAAATATGCATGTTAGCCTTCCTCTGTCTCCAGCATCATCCCCTAACAGTCCCACCAAAACACACACGCGTGCATTGGTGTGCACATGCAGATGTATGTGCCACCACCACACACTAGCCCCCAAAGGACTCCACATCCCCCCTCATCCCCCCATCCCCAAAGTGACCCCTCCTCTTTGCATTCTATCAGGAAAAGACAGTAAAACAAAAATTCTCAAACCTGCATCCCTACCCCTTCCTGTCACCCCAAAACAAACCCTCCTTGGTTAGATGTGTGCACCTACAAGGAAAACCGTTCAGGTCCTGGTGCACGAGGGCAAAAAGGGTGTAGTGACAAGTGGCCAAAGTGAACACCTCTCTAACGTGTGCTCTGCCTGCAAACTTACTAGCGCTGTCTCCCCGCTTGACTTTTTCCAGTTATTTGACAATCTGGTGGTTTCCCAAGAAAAAGACAAACCCATCCTTTGTCCAAAAAGATCACCAGGATAAGGACTCCAAGATCCTTCCAGAAGGTTCTTTACAAATATCAGGGCTGGCCTGTTCCACAAGCTTAATTATTGAGGGAATTAAATGACCTCAATTAGGAAAAACTATTGAAACAGGGCCGAACGCACAGAATGGGCTCTGTAAGTAGCAGATATTATTGTTGTTTTCACTGGTATTATATGATATGCGACAAAAAAATGAAGCCTTAAACGCCACCATTTACAGATAAGCGCATTGCCCTCTCCATAAGAAGACCTTTTCTCAGTTTCCTCATCCTCAAACTGCAGCTAATTCCTACCTCAAAGATCAAATCATCAAGATCAAATAAGATCATGTATTTGGAGGTTAAAAAAAAGGTTATTTTGAATTTGAATGAGATGGAGGTCATCATCCATTAGGAGAAAAGCATTTATTAAGAGATTTTCCTCCTAGGGGAACAAAAGATGATTTGGTAGGAGGCATATGAGCTGAGGGAGAAAGTCTCCTATGTCACATAGGAGATCTGACATTTTCATTAAACAGACAGGAACATCCCCAGGATGACAATCCGATAATCAGTTTCCAGGGGTGTTAAGCTATCTCCATGCTCCTTCCAGCAGTCTACTGAAATGCTCTCCGTCATGTCAAATGCTACCCCCACAGGCCACAGGCCACCTGCCTGACTGCGCTTTGAAGTACTGCCTCCCCACAAACTCCTTCTCCAGGAACTGTCACACAGGAAACCCAGGTGTCTTCACCCAGCCTCTGCTTAGCAAGAAATCACAGAATCACAGAAAACTAGGACTATCCTGATTTAGATGGGCACTCAAGTACAAGAATCAAAATACCACTATTATTCTTGGATGACTACCTAATACAATTTGTTATTTTTTCCCCGTTTTCCTTTTTGCAAGTAATAAGGGCTCATTAAAGACAATATAGATAATAAATGTAGAAAAATAAAAAATTAAAATCGGCTGGATACTGTGGTTCAAGCCTGTAATCCCACAATGTTAGGAGGCTAAAGTTTAGAATGTGGGAAGATGGCTTAAGCCCAGGAGTTCGAGACCAGCATGGGCAACAGAGCAAGACCTCTTCTCCCTAACCTTTGCAAAAAAAAAAAAAAAAAAAAAAAAAAAAAAGGGAAGTAACAAGAAAAAATAAAATAAAATCACTTTAAAACCTCACAAAATTCTAAAATAACAATTGAGAGCAAATCCAGTCTTTTTGCTATTCATTTCTGTTTTCCAAAATACAAAGATACATTATATCTTGATTTTTTTTTTCAGTTAATAATAGAAGGATTTTTCCATGTTACCAGACGTCTTTGTAAGCATTTTCAGGGGATCCAAGTAGATATACTATGGTTCACCCACCTAGTCCTCTAAAACAGTGGTCATCAACCTTTTCAGCATAGGGATCGGTTTTGTGGAAGACAATTTTTCCATGAACTTGGAAGGGTAAAGGGAGGGGGATGACGGGTGGTTTCGGGATGAAACTGTTCCACCTCAGATCATCAGGCATTACATTCTCATAGGAAGCGCACAACCTAGATCCCTCACATGCACAGTTCACAATAGGGTTCGCAGTCCTATGAGAATTTAATGCCGCTGCCGATCCGACAGGAGGTGGAACTCAGGCGATAATGTTTGCTCTCCCACTGCTCACCTCCTACTGTGTGGTCAGGTTCCTAACAGGCCATGGACCAGTACCAGTCCACAGCTTAGGGGTTGGGGATCGCTGCTCTAAAATATTTTTTGAATATTCCCTATTCTCCTCATATGAATAATGCTGCTACTCACATCTTTGGGGATAAAGCTTTTTTCGTATTTAGGAATATTTAGGAACCCTCAGCTCCCAAGGCAATTACTAAATTAAAGAATTCACACCCTTTTAAATCTCTTCTTACATCTGGCCAGAGAGATTTCTGGCCAATAATATAAATTTCATTTGCCAACATTTTTGTTACATGCACCCTTGCTAGAATTAAATATTATAATTTTTTAAATCTTTGCTAATATGATAGGTAAAATAATTAAATCTCTTTCTTAAAACATTTAGTAATTTAGTGAAGACGGAAATTGTTTACTAGTTATATTTCTTCCCTAATTCTCTAATTCCTTCTTAAGAACATTTTTCGGTCAGATAACCTAGATAGTAACTCAGCCATGAAGATAAATGCTACTCCCTAATAAATGTTATTTTAAAATACTGCTCAAAAAGAAAATCAGATATTGCAATGAATTCCATATGAGAAGAAACAATATTATTTTATTGAGATCACAATTACAATGTTTTATTTTTAAATTTTTTTTGGAGCAGGGTATTCCTGGCCTCAAGCAATCCTCCTGCCTCAGCCTCCCAAAGTGCTGGGATTACAGGCATGAGCCACCAGGCCTGGCCTATAATCTCTCCTAGTAGTTTTAAGAACTGGGATTCATGAGAAACAAAAACTCAATGAAACTCCAAAATTGTATGCAAAAATTATGGTTATGTACATATCTATTTTTACGGAAAGCCTGTGCTTAGCTTTCATCAAAATCGTAAAACCACATCACAAAGTAGCTTCATGAAACAGAGGTTTAAAAAAATATATATAGCTGAAGTCTACCCACCCATGATGAATTACCATGAGACTAAAAACATACTTTAAACTCAGTAAAACAAAAAAGGAAGTGCCAAGGTCATAGCTTCATCTCTTCCTGGTGTGCTTATGTGTGTGCACCTGTTTCTGGTGCTCGGTTCAAAAGAAAAAGCAGGGCTTCTGTCCTTGAGGGCAGTTTTTGAGATGAGTAGGACAGACAGTATTAAAATGAATCGTTGCAGCCTGCAGTTTTATTGTAGTCCAGTGAGCTTCTATTGACTATCTAACATAAGCCCAGCACTATAATAGATACAATGGTTTGAAGCAATGAATTCTAGAGGCCATAAAGGCTTCCATATCTACTTCTGGTTACTGCCATTGCCGCTATCCAAAATTTTTAGGCAACTCCTCCTTCATTCTGTTCTCCACCTCTGCAACCCTCCTTTCCCAAGAACTAGTGCCATCTCTAGACACAGCCCTGCCACATACGATTGTGTAGATTGCACACTACATAGTTCTAGGTGACATCATTCACCCTGTAGTCTAAATTAAACAGTAAGTATCCGAAGAGCTCTAATGCAACACTCTGCAACTCACTTGAGTCCACTTATTGCTACTCTTGTCCTGACATAGCACCCTAGTTCTAACAACTGGGCTTATGCCAAGCTAAGACCAGTTTGCACCACATTTCTCATTTCGAATAACTAATTTCCCTCTTGATAAACTGCCTAATTCCCTTGACATTCTATGAATGGGAAATGGGGAAATGGTGACCTCTACTTGCCTGGTAGCTCAAGAATTGAAATGTGATTTTGAACTTTTGCCCAGAACTGAGAACTGTTTACCTGCTTACAAGCTTGCTGAAATCACTGGCCTTTCTACCTGCTTAGATACCTGGTTATTTCCAGATCTTGGATTTTTGGTCACCATGATCCATTTGCCAAGACACCCAATTACCCCAAGTTGGTCTTCTCCAACAGAGTCAGACTTCCCTGGTTGTCTGTGACCACACCCTCTATATCATGGGTTCTGGACCAGGCTGCTCTTATTTTTTTCTTTTCTTTTGGTTTACTTTTGCTTGTTTTTAGAGACAGGGGTCTCACTGGGTTGCTGAGGCTGGTGTCGCACTCCTGGGCTCCAACAATCCTTCCACTTTGGCCTCCCAAAGTGCTGGGATTAGAGGTGTGAGCCACTGCACCCGGCCTGGACCAGGCTGCTCGCAAACAACCCAAGTTGGCAAATCTTGCTCCAGCACCTGGTGCTTCCCAGTTGGTTCCATAATTCACTGGATTTATTATGATCCTGCACAAATAATTTACCTTCAAAGCCTTCTTTTTCCTGTGTGTAAACTGGAGATAATTTCAGAGACGGCTGAGATTTAAGTGATAAACTTATACTACTTATAGTACTTATACTACAAAGTGATAAACTTTAACTTATACTACCTGTAAGTTGTTTAGCACTATGCCTGGGACATCTAGGTGTCCAAAAAATGGTAGCTTTTCTTAACAGAAAAGACTACTACAGTGTGAGAAATCACAGGGTACAAATTATACGTAAATATGACATCTGAGTTAAACAGTTAAACGACCAAGATCTAAGTGGTTAGAATCTAACCCAAGTCTTTCTCTTCTGTCTAGGGAGTCTTCTCCACCATGATCTGCCCTGCTCTTTGGTCTAGCTCTCTTAGATACTCAGGATGAACGGTTCTTTCTGGCAGATTTACTGAGCATAACCTTGGGGAGCAGGTCAGAAGGACACTTTGGCATGGTGGGTAAAACTGCCAGCACCTTAGCACCAAGCTCTACCAGTAGGCATATTCTTTCATCTTTTGTGTAAAACACAATTTTTATTATTTATTTATTTAATTTTTTGAGACAGAGTCTCACTCTGTCTTCCAGGCTGGAGTGCAGTGGTGTGATCTCGGCTCACTGCAACCTCCGCCCCCTGGGTTCAAGAGATTCTCCTGCCTCAGCCTACCAAGTAGCTGGGATTACAGGTGCGCACCACCACACCCCGCTAATTTTTGTATTTTTAATAGAGACAGGGTTTCACTATGTTGGCCAGGCTGACCTCGAACTCCTGACCTCAGATGATCCACTGCCTTGGCCTCCCAAAGTCCCAGGATTGCAGGCGTGAGCCACCGTGCCTGGCCTAAAACACAATTTTTACTTAGAACAAATGACTGACATACAAACTGTCAGTCAAACTTATTCCGAGTTAGGTATTTGGTAGATTTTTATCCCCAAAATGAGTAAGCTTTGAGCTTTCAAAGCAAAAACTAGAATTTCAAAAAAAATTCTGGCTACCTCCATGAGCTTAATAGTTTTCTACACTCAAAGACTGTTAATGATATTAGTGGTGATATCTTAATGATGTGATTTTGGATAGTACATAATAAAATGTGTCAACATTTTGAATATCTGCATACCTCAGTGAGACCATTGTTTTCCAAATGACCAATGCATACTGTTAAAAACCATGCATGGATAAAAAGTATCTATTCAAAGTGCAAAATTGACCAATGGATTTTAATGTAAGAGTATAAAAATTTCTTGATATGGCTTCAGATTGTACATTGTACCTAAACATTAAGAAATTAACATTTGTCAAGTTTTGGTATAGAATCAAAGAATATCCACAATTATCTAAAAAGGCTATTAAAATATTCCTTTTTTCCAAATACACATCTGTGTGAGGCAAGATTTTCTCCATATTCTTCAATCAAAACAACATATGGCCACAGATAGAATGCAGAAGCAGATAGGAGAATCCTGTTGTCTTCTATTATGCCAGCCATTAAAGATAGATGTGCAAAACTGTAAAAACAATACTATTCTTGCTATTTTTTAGAAATATGTTTTTTTCACAAAATCTGTTTTATTAACTTATAATGAGTTTATGATTGCTCATTTTTTTTTGAGACAAGGTCTTTAAAGGGTCTTGATTTGTCACCCAGGCCGGAGTGCAGTGGCGAGATCATAGCTAACTGCAACTTCAAACTCCAGGGCTCAAACTCTCCTCCTGCCTCAGCCTCCCAAGTAGCTGGGACGACAGGTGCATCCCATGGTGCCCAGCTTGATAGTTGCTATTTTTAATGAATTGATAAATATTTTAAGTGATTTTTAATCTATACTATTCTCTTTCCACTGTTTTTTGAGTTAGGTGCTGTAAACAGATTTGTCCTCCCTCTCGTTTACTTATTCAGTGTGACGCTAGTGTTCTCTTATCCCAGAAATGTGGGAAGCAGAAGGCAATGGAAGATGGGGTGATTAGAATCTTCTGGTAAATGTGCATACACTCATGTAGATTATCTTTGGAACATTTTTTGGTTGGGTTTCGTGTTTCCCAAATTGCTGTCTTTAGTCCAAAGCTCTCTCCTGAACTCAACCAGCACAATCATTCCCTTAGCAAATATTTATTTAGTGTCAGCAACATGCCAAGCAGTGTGTATCCAATGGTCTTCATAGCACATCTCCTTGGATGTCCAGCAGGCACTGTAAACTCTGAACCACCTATGCTAACCTTGTGTTTCCTCTCAACAGCTCCTCCTCCCATGCTCCTGTTACAATGACTGGTGCCATGAGCCATCCTGAGGCTCCAGCCAAACATCCGGGCATACCTGTCCTCTCTCCCTTCATCCGACTGACTCTCAAGTCCTGGAAAATATACCTTTTTAATATCTCTCAAATTTTCCACTTTTCTCCATCTACCCTCATTCAGGCTTCCTTTATCCTTCACTAAATTATTAACAACAGCCTTCAAACTGTTCTCTCTCATCCTATCTTAGCCTTTTCTCTTCTGTCCTCCACACTGCACAGGGCCAGGCAATCCTTGACAGCATGTCATTAAAAGGGCTGGGGTTGAAGATCATCATCTCCATTTCACAGATGAGGAAAACAGGCACTGAAGTTAAATAACTTGCCCAAGTGGTATTTTTTAATGGCAAGGCAGATCAGATCAAGCCCTTTGTTTAACCTCTAAGGGCATTAATTCTAAGGATAAAATACGAGCTCTTCAATAAGGCATATGAGGGTCCTCCGTGCCTAACTGTCCAGCCTCCTTTTGGCCCTTTGCTCCTTTTATTACCAGGCTTTAAAAAAATACCTCCTATTTCCTTTGCCTGGGCCACTTTTCCCCCAACAGACTGAGCTTAGCTGTATCTTTCTTCAGAAACCCTCCCCAACTCCCTAAGACTGGGTGAGGCGACCTGCTTATGGTTCACGTTTCAGTCTAATGGCAGTAGCACTTATCACACCATTTTTTTTTTTATTTTGTATTCCCCTACCCACTTCAGGGAGGACCTGTAATACATTTCGATTACTGTCACATTCTGCATTTCCTGCTAGGATCACTTGACCTCCTAAATTTTTTTCTCAATTTGCATACATTAGGTCAATTCTTTGTGCTGTCAAGTTCTTCATCACACACCCACCATCACAGTGTCATACGGAATCGTTTCACTGTCTGCAAACTCCCCTGTGCTCCATCTCCCCCAGCACTCCCTCCCCTGCGCCATGCCACAGTTTAACTGCCTATGGACTTGACGAGCTCTCTCTCTCTTGGGTTCGGGATCTGTTCTGTTTAACCTGGTGTCCCCAGCCTGAGACAAAATGCCCAGCACTCTGAGGATACTCTACAAATATCTGTTGAATGCAAGAACTACAAACTTGTAGAGCAATCTACAGGTTAAACCTTGTCCCTGAGTGGCAGTGTTGCTGGTGAATTAGTAGCTCCGATGCCCATGGCAGCCCTTTCCACAGCTCCAGTTCACTCCCAAGCCCCCACTCCGCTGTCTCTTCCTGGATGGTATGTGCTTGTCCAAATGGATATAGCCCCGAGATGACTAAGTTACTCAAACACGTGCTGGGCTCGGCGGAAGGAGTTGTGACAGGAATTGCTGCCCAAGAAATGGGAAAGCGGACCAGCTCCTTGGGGAAGGGAGGTTGCTTAACAGGGAGTGACACTCGAGGCCCAGAAGAAAGGGCAGCGGGAGCTTGAAAAGCTTTAGTTGGGAAACCACACCTTTAAACCAACCTGCTTACTTGTCAGTTTTTTATTTCTGTTCTTTTTGTTTCCCTTTTTTTTGAGACAAAGTCTCGCTCTGTCACCCAGGCTGGAGTGCAGTGGTATGATCTCAGCTCACTGCAACCTCTGCCTCCCGGGTTCAAGCAATTCTCCTGCCTCAGCCTCCCAAGCAGCTGGGATTACAGACACCACCATGTCCAGCTAATTTTTTTGTATTTTTATAAAGATGGGGTTTTCACCATGTTGACCAGGCTGGTCTCAAACTCCTGACCTCAAGTGATCCGCCCACCTCGGCCTCCCAAAATGCTGGGATTCCAGGCATGAGCCACCGCGCCTGGCCAAGTGTCAGTTTCAATACTAAAAGTCCAGCATCACCACGGGGCTGCGAATCAAGGCACTCTCTGTGCACTGCTAGGCAAGCTGGGTTAGGACTTGGCCCTGAAAGTCTAGTCCCTGCTTGGAAATCTGCCTTTCTAGTTCCTATGACTTTAGAAGGAGTTGGGAGAACTCCAGAGCTGTGGGTGGAGGGGAGAAGCTCCTGATAAGTGAACCATCAGAGCCTGAACAATGGCTTCCTCTGTGCAGCTGGGCTCTGCACCTGGTGCCTGCACAGGGCCCTCTGTGCTTTTGTCCTTCCGCACACAGTGATGTCCACACACAGACGAGACTTATAAATACCCTCCAAAGGAGAAGTGAAATCATTGACCGGTTCTCCTTTTCTCTGCTTAGCTGGAGCCCAGCAGCTGAGAGCAACTGGTACACACTCACATTCCTCAGTAGAGCGGCTCAACCTGCTTTCATTATTTTATGGTTGGGAAGCTTTTGGCAAACATCCTGTTTAGGATGAAATGGGACTCAGACTGACTCTCAGGGGCTAAATTTACTGCCTAGAAACTTCAAGCAAATGAAAAGAGAAAGCAAAGGAAAGGACACGGCCTGTGAGGGCACCATTCACAGAAACAGAATGCTGGAGTCTTCTGGAAGGGAGCATTTTACCTGTACGTAGAAGGTCCTGGAGCTTGTTATTATTTCAAACAGGTTGTCCCTCATTAAGAGATCACTAGACAGAGAAAGAGAAAGAATGTTATGGCGTGCTGACATACTCAGAGAGGACTCGATATGTCCTAAGACCCCAGTGCCCTCTACCATAAAAAAGGAAGATGGGTGGGGGGTGGTTCCAAGCCATTCTTCCTTCAGCTCCTGCCTTGAAAAACACTCCAGGGGTTTCCTCTAGCTTCATTTCCTAGAGGGTCTCAGGAGGCTTTGCCATCCAGATGGACCCTCCCCAGGCCCCTCTCCCACCAGCAGTTCTAACAAGCTCCTTTCCCTCCAAAACCTCCTGCCTAATATCCAACCCCACCACCACCATCTCCTACAGTTTCCTTCCTTCCTGCCTCCCTCCTTCCCTCTAAGGTGTATGAAGTGCTTTGTGGGAAGCACCGTTTCGGGTGCTTTTTTGTAGATTATTTCATCTAATCTTCACAACAGCCCCGGGGGGCACTTAAGACTTCCCCCATTTTACAGATGAGGAAACCCAGACCCACACTCAGGGTCAGAGCTTAAATGACTCCTCCAAGTTGCTGGAGATTTGGAACCTAGGTCTGACTCCAGAGTCTCTGCTTTATTTATTTATTTTTTTGAGACAGGGTCTCGCTCTGTTGCCCAGGCTGGGGTACAGTGGTACAATCATGGCTCACTGGGGCTACAGGCACATGCCACCACTCCTGGCTAATTTTTATATTTGTCATAGAGACAGGGTGTTTCCATGTTGCTCAGGCTGGTCTTGAACTCCTGAGCTCAAGCAATCTGCCTGCCTCAGCTTCCCAAAGTCCTGGGATTACAGGTATGAGCCACTGAACCCAGTGAGCCTATGCTTTTAATTACTCCACTGCCATTGGCCTCTCCTAAGGGAGCCAACTCTCCGCTCCCTAAACCGTCTCCTCCACCCTCACAGCAGCCCCATCAACCTCACTCAGCTCCTGCTCCTTGCCTCACTGTGCGGGGCCCAGGAGACAAAGAGCTAAAGAGGAGGAAAGCAAGGGGAGAGGAGATGACCTCAGGGCACTCCTTTAGGGGACACTGCTGGGTGTGGGTTTTGGAAAAGAAATCCTGACTTCTGCAAGGAAGAGGGCGGGGAGTAGATGATGCTCAGTGACAAACCTCAAAGCAGCCCAAGTTATTTCCCAGTGTTAAATGCCTGCCGCGTATATCCCCAGCCACTGCGGGGAATACATAAGGAGTAAAAGATCTAATTCCTACCCAGTGAAAGAACATAAGGGCCAGGCGCAGTGGCTTACGCCTGTAATCCCAGCACTTTGGGAGGCCAAGGCAGGCAAATCACTTGAGTTCTAGGCCAGCCTGGACAACATGGTGAACCTTGTTCTCTATAAAAAAAAATACAAAACTGAGTCAGGTGTGGTGGCACACATCTATAGTCCCAGCTACTCGGGAGGCTGAGGCGGGAGGATCACCTGAGCCTGGGAGGCAGAGGCTGCAGTGAACTGAGATTGCACTCCAATCTGGGGACAGAGCAAGACTCTATCTCAACAACAACAAAAAAAGAACATAAGGAAGCAAAACTGTACCATCAGATGTTAGATTGTGTGTTATATGCCAAGAGTTGGAAAGGACTGATCACAGGTGGGGTTGGCTTTATGAATGAGAAAGCCTGCAAGAAAATGGCACTACCTCGGCCAGTGCCACAGGTACCTGGGCAAAGGAGTGCATGAGACCAGAGATCCATGAGCAAGAACAACAGGATAGGGGCCAGATAGACCTGGGGTGAATCCTGACTACATGTAGGGAAGAGATGTTTGAGAATGTTGTAAAAACTTGGGGAGCCTTTGTGACCCCAGGTATAAAACAGAGACAAATAAGAGGACCCCCTTGATCAGGCTGGTCACTACAAAGACCAGTTAGTTATAAGGTACAGAAGGCATCCGGCATAATGTATGTCACAGAATAGTCACTTGAAGCAAATTTCACCAACTATGATTACTTTCTGAGTTTCTGAATAAAAAATGCCTCTTTCTGGCTAAAATGTCTTAGCCTTTCAAATTCTACTCATGCATAGCCAGTAAAGTCACATAAACAACTATTGAGGAGGTGAAAGAAAAGCAGGTGGGAAATCCCCACTCCTTTCACATCTACTTCTCAGGGTGGGAAGGGCAGGAGGGGGGTGAGGGATAAAAGACTATGCATTTGGGCACCGTGGACACTGCTGCAGATGGGTGCACCACAATCTCAGAAATCACCACTGAAGAACTTTTCCATGCAACCAAACACCACCTGTTCCCCCAAAACGATAGAAATTTTAAAAAATGTAAAAATTTATTTATTTATTTATTTGAGACAGAGTTTCACTCTTGTTGCCCAGGCTGGAGTGCAGTGGCACGATCTTGGCTCACTGCAACCTCCGCCTCCCGGGTTCAAGCGATTCTCCTGCCTCAGCCTCCCAAGTAGCGGGGATTACAGGCACCCACCACCATGCCCGGCTAATTTTTTGTATTTTTAGTAAAGAAGGGGTTTCGCTATGTTGGCCAGGATGGTCTGGAACTCCTGGCCTCAGGTGATCCGCCCGCCTCGGCCTCCCAAAGTGCTGGGATTGGATTACAGGTGTGAGCCACCACGCCCGGCCTAAAAAGATATATATTTTTTTAAAACGGCACCAGGCTACATGGTGCCTTTCAACAAATATTAATTGATTATCAAGATATCCTAAAACCCTGGACTGGGTTCCAGGGAGGCCAAGCAGTCTAACAGGCATGGAAGCTGCAGAGCCCTAAGGACCTTCCTTCCCTGCTAGTCCCTGACTTCCTTAACTCAGTTTAGTGTGACTCTGGCAGAGTTAGAGAGTTAGAGAAAGTTCAAGGCATTCTTAGGATTTAACCGTAAGTTCCTTATGGTTCTCTAAGCTTCCCCCATGTGCCCAGGTGGTCTCACATCTGCAAGGGCCCTCCAGGGTCAAGTACAATCAAGGATCTCATCATGCCCAATCTTCCCTCTGCCTACTTCTAGAGCCACACTTCTGGAATTTCCATCTATAGCTACTTTCCCGAATTATAAATAGTCACTGGGAACCTCCCCAGTCTTCTGTACTCTGCAACTGCCATTTGCAAGACTCGGGAGAGTGCTTCTGTCTCTGCCCCCTTGGGTCACACAGCATGTTGTTTTCATGCAAGACTGTTTGTGCCTTCATGGGAGAAGAGTCGGCCTGCTGTGAACAGCTTTCCTGATGATATCTGAGGGTTCTGCTTGTACAAGCCATGAGACGGAGGGACACAAACACCCTGTCTCTAAAGACTGCAGATTGGTGGCCAGAAAAAGGGTTTTTGGATGCCCCAATACCCTTAGGGTCTCTAAAGTTTAGTTCTATAGGCATCTGTATTTGGTGTTGGACCTAGGAGATCCCTTGCCAGGTCCCAAACTCATCCTATGCAAAGTGGCACTTGGAAGGTAACTATTTCCTAGTGGACAGAGGAATCCCTTTAAAATACCTGTTCTTCCTTCCCAGTGGGAGTAACACAGAGATGCTATGAATCACCTTGTGTTAATGGGACATCAGGGTCAAAAGGAGGAGAAAAGGAATAAGAAGGTCAGGGAAGAGGCACTAGTACAGTGATCTGACCAGAAGCACTGAGGTGAGTGACCTAGAGGCGTGGTCTCTCCTCTGAGCCTGTGTTCTGCTAGGGATTGAGCATCTAATCCTAACACCTGAGAAGCTTCGGAGCCCCACTCTTTGTTTCTATACCCTTTCTTTTTGCCCACCAGAAACTATTACGTAGGCCTATCTGCTTAGGAGCCAGAGTAAGGTATGGGAAGAGGGCAAGTGTGCCCAGGGCGGTCTCCTCCCTGTGTTAGCTTGGATGCAGTGAGTCAGCCACAAGGTGTTAGGCTCCTGTGCCTGGCTCTTGGAAGAAGATGACTCTTGCATAGAGTCTCTGAAGGGTAGTAAAGGGAGATTTAAGAGGACAAATGGAGGTTTGGATTAGAAGAGAAAAAGCAGACACAATTACCCAGACTTGACCAGACATTCATGGGTCTTCAGAACATCCTTAAGAAATATGGTGCGCAGTGGTTCTCGGTCCTGGTGGAAAGAACAGAAAGACAGGTAAGTGAGGCTGTCTGTGTCATATCACGACCCAGACCAGCTGACCAATACCCCTTTCTCAGAGATGGTTGGCTAAAATCAGGTTGACAAATAATCTGGTCTCAAAATAATCAGCAAGAGAAAAAAAAATCTGGCTGGGCAGAGTGGCTCATGCCTGTAATACCAGGACTTTGGAAGGCCAAGGCTGGAGGATTGCTTGAGGCCAGGAGTTCAAGACCAGCCTGGGCAACATAGTGAAATCCTGTCTCTACAAAAAATCCACCACTGTGCTCCAGCCTGGGTGACAGGTGACAGAGAAAGACCCTGTCTCCAAAAACAAGAAAAAAGACAAAAAAATATAAGAAGAAGATGTTGTGTAGCTATGACTCTGACCACACAGCAGCTCACTGCAGAGAGGACACTTTAGTGTCACTGTAAAGATGTGTGCACAGAATGGAGATAAGACAGAGGCGCCTTTGAAGTCTTTGTGTGCCCACATCTCCACTCATGCACGCTCTCCTGTGGGTGTGCACCTATGCACCTCTTAGTTTCCATGACCTCTCAGAAGGGCAGCAAAGCTACTACAAACCTGCTCACACTTGAAGTAGCAGATGGTAAAGTCATCAAGTGCAAAGAAGCGACGTTTCCAGCTCTTCCGCTGTAATAAAAAAATAAAAGGCAGACCATTAGCGAGAGGTGCCCAGCATTGTGGAGGGTGTACTCATGCTAAGCTCCCAAGGACCCAGCCCCATGGAAGTCCGGCTCCCACATTCAGCAGGGGCAAGGGCTTCTTCATATCAGGGGCAACACCTCTGACAGGTGGGAGCCAAAGGTCAGTCCCAAAATCTCACCCTCAAAGGTGGAGGCTCCATGGAGGACTGAGGCACCTCCTGTCAATCCCCTCTCACCTCTGCTATGTCTACAGCCACTGGCTCTGAGGAGTCACCAGAACCCCAATTCAGCCCCTGTGCTGACACTCACCACATTCCCTTGCTTCACGCAGTAACCACTCTTAATGAGGGGAGGCCCAGTGGAAGCACGGCAGCCTGACGTGGGGATGTAACTCTGAGACCTTCGAAGGATGGTGTGGGACCCGGGCTCACTCCCTTCCTGCCCATCCCCACCGTTCTGCAAGGAAACAGTGTCAGTATCAGCGCCTCCCTCCCTCTATGCAGCCACAGCCCCACCTACCTCCCTCTGCCTGAATCTCTGGCCTCTTTGCCCTAAGTCAAAGAAGAAATAAATGGTGGGCACAGTGGCTCACGCCTGTAATCCCAACACTTTGGGAGGCCAAGGCAGGAGGATCGCTTGAGCCCAGGAGTTCTAGACCAGACTGGACAACACAGTGAGACCCAGTCTCTACAAAAAAATTAAAAATTGTTTTAAAATTTTTGTTTAATTTTGATTTTAAAATTTAAAAATTAAAAAAAAGAATTACCCAGGCGTGTAGTCCCAGCTACTCAGGAAGCAGAGGTTGGAGGATGGCTTCAGCCCAGGAGTCTGACACTGAAGTGAGCCATGATTGCACCACTGCACTTCAGTCTGGGCAACACAGCGAGACCTTGTCTCTAAAAAAATTAAATAACAACATGGCAAAACCCCATCTCCAACAAAAAATACAAAAAAATTTAGCCAGGCGTGGTGGCACATGCCTGTGGTCCCAGATGAGGTGGGAGGATCACTTGAGCCTAGGAAGGCTGAGGCAGGAGGATTGCATGAGCCTAGGAGGCAGACGCTGCAATAAGCCGTGATTATGTGTATATGCACTTCAGGCTGGGTGACAGAGGGACACCCCATCTCAAAAAAAAAAAAAAAAAAAAAAAACTTAAATAAATATAAATAATTAAAACAGGAAAATAAACCTTTCCTTTCTCTGTCATGCACTCTACTGGGTACTTTCACAGAACCAGCATCAGGGAGGTTGGGCCGACCCAGGAGAAAGGGAAGGATAGGGAATGTGAACCAGCAGGGACACCAGGCTGGTTTCCAGCCTTGTTTGCCATGCTCTGTCCCATTTCCTATGGTTTCACAAACCCTCATCTTCTGTGTCTCCCGTGTTCGGCACAGAACTGCACAGGCCACATGGCTTCAAGATGCAGCAGCCTCCACTTCCGCACTGCCGTCACTAACACCCATGAATGGGGATGTAACATGACCTGTACTTTCCTGATGGCTCCACTGGCACCAGCTGCCCCCCACTCCCACCCTCCTTTTCCCCAGTACAGTGCTCCGAGCACATCATGGGCACACCATGGACACTTCCACACCCCCACTCCCCCCGC